>NC_000007.14:60878234-61063378 GCF_000001405.40 Homo sapiens | reverse complement strand
TCCATTCATTGGTGATTCCATTCAATTCCATTCAATGATTCCATTCCATTCCATTCGACAATGATTCCATTAGTTTCCATTCGATGATTCCACTTGATTCCATTTGACAATGATTCCATTTGATTCCCTTCATTGCTGATTCCATTCAATTCCATTCAGTTATTCCATTCCATTCCATTCGACAATGATTCCATTAGATTCCATTCGATGATTCCACTTGATTCCATTTACGATGATTCCATTTGATTTCTTTTGATGATTCCATTCAATTCTATTCGATGATATTTCCATTTGATTCCATTCGACAATGATTGACTTTGATTCCATTCAATGATTCCATTCGGTTCTGTTCAAAGATGATTCCTTTCGATTCCATTTGATGATTCCATTTGATCACATTCAATGATTATTCCATTTGAGTGCATTCGATGATTCCATTCGAGTCCATTCAATGATTCCATTCGTGTACATTTGATGATTCCATTTGATTCCATTCGATGATGATTCCATTAGAGTCCATTCGATGATTCCATTCGAGTGCATTTGATAATTGCATTCGAGTCCATGTGATGATTTCATTTGACTCCTTTTGATGATTCCATTCAAGTCGGTGTGCTCATTCCATTCGAGTCCATTCGATGATTCCATTTGAAGATGATCACATTCGATTCCATATGACGATGATTCCATTTGAGTAAATTCGATGATTTCATTCGATTCCATTTGATGATGATTCCATTCGAGTCCATTCAATGATTTCATTCTATTCCATTTGATAATGATTCCTTTCAACTCCATTCAATGATTCTATTCAAGTCCATTCAGTAATTGCTTTGGATTCCATTTGATGATGATTACATTTGATTCCATCTGATGATGATTAGATTCGATACCTTTCTATGATTCCATTCAATTCCATGTGATGTTGATTCAAGTCAATTCCGTTTCATTATTCTATTCTTTTACATCCGATGATGATTATATTCGATTACAATCAATGTTTCCGGTTGAGTATATTTGATGATGATTCCATTCGATTCCATTCGATGATTCCATTAGATTCCTTTCGATGATGATTTCATTCGATTCCATTCAATGATGATTGCATTTGTGTCCATTCGATTATTCCATTCGATTTCATTCAATATTGATTCAACTCGAGTCCATTCGATGATTCCATTCGATTCCATTCGATGATGATTCCATTCGAATCCATTCGATGATTCCACTTGATTCCATTCGATGACTCCATTCGATCCCATTCCATGATTCCCTTTAATGCCATTCGATGATCATTCCATTTGACTCAATTCAGTGATTCCATTCGATTGTATTCAATGATGATTCCATTTGATGATGATTCCATTAGATTCCATTCGATTATGATTTCATTCAATTCCATGCGATGAAGATTCCATTCAAGTCCATTCAATGATTCCATTTGATTCCATTCGATGATGATTCCACTCAAGTCCATTTGATGATTCCTTTCGAGTCCATTCGATGATTACATTAGATTCCATTTAATGATGATTCCATTCAGTGCCATTTGACGATTCCATTCAATTCCATTCAACAATGATTCCATTCGTGTCCATTCAATGATTCCATTCGATTCCATTTGATGATGATTCCTTTCGAGCCCATTCAGTGATTCCATTCAATTCCATTCTATGATGATTCCCTTCTAATCCATTTGATGATTCCATTTGATTCCATTCGATGATGACTGCATTCGGTTCCATCTGATGATGATTCTAATGGATTTCATTCAATTTCTCCAGTTGATTCCATTCGTTGATCATTCCATTCTTTTCCATTTGATGATGATACCATTATATTCCATTCGATGATGATTCCATTCAATTCCATTCAATGACTTTTCCATTCAATTCCATTCAATGATGATTCCATTGGATTCCATTCGATGATTCCATTTGATTCCATTTTATGGTGATTCCATTCAGGTCCATTCGATGATTCGATTAGAATCCATTTGATGATTCCATTTGATTCCATTTTATGGTGATTCCATTCAGGTCCATTTGATGATTCGATTAGATTCCATTCGATGATTCCATTTGATTCCATTCAATGGTGATTCCATTCAGGTCCATTCGATGATTCCATTTGATTCCATTCGATGATGATTCCATTCGAGTACATTCAATGATTCCATTCAAGTCTATTTGAAGATTATTTTCAATTCCATTTGATGATTCCATTCGAGTCCATTCGATGATTCCATTGAAGTCCATTTGATGTTTCCTTTTAATTCCACTTGATGTTGATTCCATTTGAGTCTATTCGATTGTTCCATTTGAGTGCATTCCGTGATTTCATTCGACTCCATTCAATGATATTTCCATTCGAGTCCATCCGGTGATTCCATTTGATTTCATTCGGTGATGATTCCACTCAATTCCATTCGTTGAATCCATTCGAGTGCCTTCAATGATTACATTCGAGTCCATTAAATGATTCCATTCATTTCCATTCGATGATGACTCCATTCAAGTCCATTCAATGATGATTGCATTTGATTCCATTCAATGATACCATTGGATTCCATTCTTTGTTTTATTTCGATTCGTTTGGTGATGATTCCATTCGATTTCATTTGATGATCCCATTCGATTCTATTTGATGATGATTCCATTCCATTCCGTTTGTTGAAAATTCCATTCGAGTCCATTCGATGATTATTCCATTCAATTCTATTTGGTGAATACTTTTGATTCCATTTGATAATAATTCCATTCGAGACCATTCAATGATTCCATTCAATTCATTCAATGATGATTCCATTCAATTCAATTCGATGATTCCATTAGATTCCATTTGATGATGATTCCATTCGATTTCATTCGATGATGATTCCATGAAATTCCATTCGTTAATGACCCCTTTCGGTTCCATTCAATGACGATTCCATTCGGTTCCATTCGATGATGATTCCTTTGGATTCCATTCGATAATGATTCCATTCCACTACATTTGATGTTAATTCATTTCGATTCCATTCGATGGTGATCCATTTGATGATGATTCCATTTGATTCCATTCGATGATGATTCCATTTGATTACATTCGATGATGATTCCATTCAGTTCCATTCGATGATTCCATTCGATTCCATACGATGATGATTCCATTCTAGTCTATTTGATGATTCCATTCTAGTCCATTCAGTGAAGATTCCATTCGATTCCATTCAATGATTCCATTTGATTCCTTTTGATGGTTATTCCATTCGAGTCCATTTGATGATTCCATTGGACTCCATTTGATGATGATTCCATTCTATGATTCCATTTGATTCTATTCTATGATGATTCCATTCGATTTCATTTGATGCTGATTCAATTCAATTCCATTCGATGATTCCATTTGATTCCATTCAATGATTCCATTCGATTACATTTGATGATGATTCCATTCACTTCTGTTCGATGATTCCATTCGATTCTATTTGAAGATGATTCCACTCGATTCCATTCAATGATGACTGCATTCAATTCCGTTTGATGATTCCATTTGATTGCATTCGATGATGATTCTGATCAATTGCATTTGATGACTGCATTCAATTCCATTTGATGATTCCATTTGATTCCATTCGATAATGATTCCATTCGAGTAAATTCGATTATTCCATTCGAGGATATTCGATAATTCCATTTGAGTCTAATTGATGATTCCATTCGAGACCATTCTATCATTCCATTTGAGTCCATTCGATAATGATTCCATTTGAGTCCATTCGATAATTCCTTTGGAGTCCATTGAATGATTGCTTTTAATTCCATTCGATGATATTCCATTTGAGTCCATTCGATAATTCCATTCGATGCTATTAGATGATGATTCCATTCGTGTCCATTTGGTGATTCCATTCGATTTCATTCGATGATGATTCCATTCGAGTCCATTCAATGATTCTATTCAAGTCCATTTGATAATCCCTTTCAATTCCATTCAATGATGATTCCATTCAAGTCCATTCGATGATTCCATTCAATTCCATTTGATGATGATTCCATTCGAGTCCATTCGATGATTCCATTCAATTCCATTCGATGATGATTCCATTCGAGTTCATTCAATGGTTCCATTCAATTCCATTTGATGATGATTCCATTCGAGTCCATTCGATGATTCCATTTGATTTCATTTGATGATGATTCCATTTGATTCCATTCGATGATTCCATTCTATTCCATTCTATGATGATTCCATTTGAGTCCATTCAATGATTCCATTCGAGTCCTTTTAATGAATTCATTGGGTTCAATTCGATGATGATTCCATTTGATTCCATTCTATGATTCCATTTGATTCCATTCATTGACGTTTTGATTCCATTCGATGATGATTCCATTTGATTTCATTTGATGATTCTATTCGATTCCATTCGATGGTGATTCAATACTATTATATTGGATGATTCCATTTGACTCCATTCGATGATGATTCCTTTCGATTCCATTCAATGATGATTCCATTCTCTTCCATTGGATGATTCCATTTTATTCCATTCGATGATGACTCCATTCAATTCAATTCGATGATGATTCCATTCGATTCCATTTGATGATTCCATTTGATTCCATTCGATGGTGAGCAATTCAATTCTATTCCATGATTATTCTATGTGATTCCATTAGATGATGTTTGCCTTCCATTCCATTCGATGATGATTCCATTGGAATCCATTCGACGATGATTCCTTTCGAGTCCATTTGATGATGATTCCATATGAGTCAGTTTGATGATGATTCCATTCCATTTCATCCGATGCTTCTATTTGAATCCATTCGATGACGATTCCGTCTGATTCCATTCTATGATTCCATTTGATTCCATTCGATGCTTCTATTGGATTTCATTCCATGATGATTCCATTCGATTCCATTTGATAATTCCATTTGATTCCATTCAATGATGATTGCATTTGAGTCCATTCAATGATTCCATTCAAGCCCCTTCACTGATTCCATCTGATTCCATTTGATGATCATTCCATTCGAGTCCATTCAAAGATTCCATTTGATTACATTCTATGATTCCATTCGAGTCCATTCGATTAATCCATTCAAGTCCATTTGATGATTCCATTCATTTCCGTTCAGTGATGATTCCATTCGATTCCATTCGATTCCATCTGATGATGATTTCATTTGATTCCATTCGATGATGATTCCATTCGAGTCCATTCAATGATTCAATTCGATTCCATTTGATGCTGATTCCATTCGAATCCATTCGATTATTCCATTCAAATCCCTTTGTTGATTCCATCTGATTCCATTTGATGATGATTCCATTCGAGTCCAATCTATGATTCCATTTTCTTCCATTCAATGATTCCATTCGAGTCCATTTGATTATTCCATTCATGTCCATTTGATGATTCCATTCAATTCCATTCGATGATGATTCCATTTGATGATTCCGTTCGATTCCTTTAAATGATTCCCTACGATTCCTTTCTGTGATGATTCCATTCGATTCCATTCATTGATGATTCCATTCTATTCCATTCGATGATGATTCCTTTTGATTCCGTTTGTTGATGATTCCATTAGATTCCATTTTATGATAATTCCATTCGACTCCATTCAAAGATCATTCCATTCGATTTCATTTGATGGTTCCATTCGATTCCATAAGATGATTAATCCATTGGATTCCATTCAATGATTCCATTCGATTCCATTTGATGATGAACCATTCGATTCAATTCCATGATGATTCCACTTGATTCCATTTAACGATGTTTCCATTCGAGTCCATTTGATGATGATTCCATTCGATTCTGTTTGATTATGATTCCATTCGATTTCATTCAATGCTTCTATTTGATTCCTTTTGATGATGATTCCATCTCATTCTCTTCAATGATTCCATTCGATTCAATTCAGTGATGATTCCATTTGATTCCATCTAATGATGATCTCATTTGATTCCTTTCGATGATGATTCCATTCTAGTCCATTTGATGATTCCATTGGAGTCCAATTGATCATTCCATTCGATTCCATTCGATGATGATTCCATTCAAGTCCATTCGATGATTCCATTTGATTTCATTTGACAATGATTCCACTCGAGTCCATTTGATGATTCCATTCAATGCCATTTGATGATGACTCCATTCGAGTCAATTTGATGATTCCATTAGATTCCATTCGATGATGATTCCATTCGAGTACATTCGATGAATCCATTCGATTCCATTCGATGATGATTCCATTCGAGTCCATTGGATGATTCCATTCTTTTCCATTCAATGATGATTCCATTAGGGTCCATTAGATGATGCCATTTGAGTCCATTCGATAATTCCTTTCAAGTCCATTTGATGATTCCATTCGAGTCCATTCGATGATTCCATACAAGTCCATTTGATGATTCCATTCTTTTCCATTTGATGTTAATTCCATTAGGATCCATTTGATGATTCCATTCGAGTCCATTTGATAATTCTTTTCGAGTCCTTTTGATCACTCCATTAGAGTCAATTCGATGATTCTATTTGATTCCATTCGATGATGATTCCATTCGAGTCCATTTGATGATCGCATTTGAGCCCATTCGATGATTCCATATGATTCCATTCAACGATGATTCCATATGATTCCTTTCAACAATGATTCCATTCGTGTCCATTTGATGATTCCATTCATTTCCTTTTGATGATGATTCCATATGAGTGTATTTGATGATTCCATTCAAATCCATTCGATGATGATTCCATTCGAGTCCATTCGATCATTTCAATTGATTCCATTTGATGACTATTCCATTCGAATCCATTTGATGATTCCATTCTACTCCATTCGATGATATCATTCGAGTACATTCGAAGATTCCATTCGATTCCATTTGATGATTATTCCATTGGAGTCCACTTAGTGAATCCTTTAGATTCCACTCGATGATGATTCCATTCGATTCCATTCAATGATACCATTCAATTCCATTTGTTGATGATTCCATTCAAGTGCATTCAATGATATCATTTGATTCCATTTGATGATGATTCCATTTGATTCCATTCGATGATTCTATTCGATTCCATTCAATGATGATTCCATTCGAGTCAATTCGATGATTCTATTGGACTCCATTTGATGATGATTCCATTTAATGATTCCATTCAATTCTATTCCATAATGATTCCATTCGATTCCATTCGATGATGATTCCATTGGATTCCATTCGAGGATTCCATTCGATTCCATTTGATGATGATTCCATTCGTTTCCATTCGACGATTCCATTCTATTCTATTCAATGATTATTCCATTCAATTCCATTCGATGATGACTGCATTCCATTCCATTCGATGATTTTATTTGATTCCATTCGATGATGATTCCAAGCAATTCTATTCAGTGATTCCATTCAATTCCATTCAATAATGATTACATTCGAGTCCATTCGATGATTCCATTTGAGCCCATTTGATAATTCCATTTGAGTCCTTTCAATGATTCCATTCATTTCCATTCAACGATTCCGTTAGAATCCATTGGATTATTCCATTAGATTCCATTCGATGATTCCATTGGAGTGCATTCGATGATTCCATTCGAGTCAATTTCATAATTCCATTTGAATCCATTCGATGATTGCTTTCAATTACATTTGACGATGATTTCATTCGAGTCAATTCGATGATTCCATTTGATTCCCTTCGATCATGATTCCATTCGTGTCCATTCAGTGATTCCAATCAATTTCATTTGAAGATGATTCCTTTTGAATCCATTCGATGATTCCATTCAATTCCATTCGATGATGATTCCATTAGAGTTCATTTATGGATTCCCTTTGATTCCATTCGATGATGATTCCATTCGATTCATTTCAGTGATTCCATTTGTTTACATTCAAGGATGATTCCATTCGAGTACATTAGATGATTCCATTTGATTCCGTTCGATGATAATTCCATTCGAGCCATTCGATGATTCTATTCGAATCAATTTGATGATTGCTTTCGATTATATTCGATTATGATTCCATTTGATTGCATTCAATGATTCCATTCGATTCCATTCTATGATGATTCCATTCAATTTCATTTGACGATGATTCCATTGGAGCCCATTCAATGATTCCATTCAATTCCATTCGCTGATGATTGCATTCGAGTCTATTCGATGATTCCATTCGATTCCATTCGAAGATGATTCCATTTGATGTCATTCAATGATTCCATCCGTTTTCATTCGATTATGATTCCATTCGATTCCTTTAGATGATTGCATTTGATTCCATTCAATCATGATTCCATTCGAGTCCATTCAATGATTCCATTCGATTCCATTCAATGATGATTCTATTTGTGCCCATTAGATTATTCCACAGGATTCCATTCGATGATGATTCTGTTCGATTCCATTCGATGATTCCATTCTATTCCATTCAATGATGATTCCATTCGAGTACATTAGATGATTCCATTTGATTCCATTCGATGATGATTCTATTCGTGCCCATTAGATTATGCCACAAGATTCCATTCGATGATGATTGCGTTCGAGTCTATTCGAAGATTCCATTCGATTCCATTAGATGATGATTCCATTCAATTCTATTCATTGGTGATTCCATTCAATTCAATTCACTGATTCCATTTGATTCCATTCGACAATGATTCCATTCAATTCCATTCGAAGATTCCCCTCGATTCCACTTGATGATGATTCCCTTCAATTCCATTCGATCATTCCACTTGATTCCATTAGATGATGATTGCTTCGATTCCATTCAATGATTCTATTCAATTCCATTCGTTGATGTTACCGTTCAATTCCATTTCATGATTCCATTTGATTCTATTCAAGGATTCCATAAGATTCCATCCAATTATTATTCTATTCGAGTCCATTAGATGATTTCATTCGAGGCCATTCAATGATTCCATTCGAGTCCATCTGATGATTCCACTCGATTCCATTTGATGATGATCCCTTTCGATTCCATTCAATGATGATTTCATTCGATTCCATTAGATGACGACTATTTTCGATTCCATTTATGATGATTCCAACGGATTCCATTCGATTTCTCCATTTGATTCCATTCGTTGATCATTCCATTCGATTCTGTTACATGATGATTCCATTAGATTCCATTCGATGATGATTCCATTCGATTCCATTCATTGACGATTCCATTCCATTCCATTCAATGATGATTCCATTCGATTCCATTCGACGCTTCCATTCGTTTCCATTCCATGATGATTCCATTTATGTGCGTTTGATTTCATTTGGTGATGATTGCCTTCGATTGCATTCAATGAGTCCTTTCTATTCCATTCGATGATGATTCCATTTGAGTCTATTCGATGATTCATTTCGAGACCATTTAATGATTACATTGGGTTCAATTTGATGACGTTTACTTTGGATTCCATGCTATGTTTCCATTCGATTCCATTCGTTGATGATTCCATTCGAGTCCATTTGATGATTCCATTTGAGTACATTTAATGATTACATTGGGTTCAATTTGATGATGATTACTTTGGATTCCATTCTATGTTTCCATTCGATTCAATTCATTGATGATTCCATTCGATTCCATTAGAAGATGATTCCGTTTGATTTCATTCAATGGTTCTATTTGATTCCATTCGATGATTATTCAATTTTATTCCATTTGATGATTAAATTCAATTCCATTCGATGATGATTCCATTCGATTGCATTCTATGAGGATTCCATTTGATTCCATTTGAAGATTCCATTCGATTACATTCCATGACGATTCCATTCAAGTCCATTCGATGATGATTCCATTCGATTCCATTCGTTGATTCCATTCAATTCCATTCGATGTTTCCTTTCGATTCCACTCGACATTGATTCCATTTGAGTCCATTCGATGACTAAATTTGAGTGCATTCCATGATTTCATTCGACTCCATTCGATGATGATTCCATTTGAGTCCATTTGATGGTTCCATTTGATTTCATTTGATGATAATTAAATTTGATTTCATTCAATGATTCCATTCGAGTCCATTTGATGATTCCTTTCAAGTCCATTAAATGATTCCATTCGATACCATTCGATTATGACTCCATTCGAGTCCATTCAATGATGATTCCATTCGATTCCATTCGATGATTCCTTTGTATTCCATTCTTTGTTTTACTTCGATTCTTTTTGATGGTGATTCCATTCGATTCCATTCGATGGTTCCTTTGTATTCCATTCTTTGTTTTACTTCGATTCTTTTGATGATGATTCCATTCGATTTCATTCAATGAACCCAGTCATTTCTCTTCGATGATGATTCCACTCGATTCCATTTGAAGAAAATTCCATTTGATGCCATTGGATGATGATTCCATTCGATTCTGTTTGATACCGATTCTATTCAGTTCCATTCGATGATGATTCCATTCAATTCTATTTGATACCGATTCTATTCAGTTCCATTCGATGATGATTCCATTCGATTTCACTCGATGATTCCATTCAATTCCATTCAATGATGATTCCATTCGAGTCCATTTAATGATTCCATTCAAGGCCATTCAATGAGTCTGTCTGATTCCATTCGATGATGATTCCATTCGAGTCCAGTCGATGATTGCATTCGAATCCATTTGATGATTCCATTCGATTCCATTCAGTGATGATTTCATTCGATTATTTTCAATGATTCCATTTGATTCCATTCGATGATTATTCCAAATAATTCCATTCGTTGATTCCATTCGAATCGATTTGATGATGAGTCCGTTCATTTCAATTACATGGTGATTCCATTCGATTCAATTTGATGGTTTTTCCATTCAATTCCATTCGATGTTGATTCCATTCGATTCCATTGGATGATTATTCCACTTGAGTCCATTAGATGATGATTGTATTCAACTCCATTCGATGTTGATTCCATTCGATTTCTTTCAATGATTCTATTCTATTCTATTCGATGGTGATTCCATCTCATTCCATTCGATAAATCCATTCGATTCCATTCTATGATGATTTCATTCGTTTCCATTTGATGATGATTCTATTCGATTCCATTTAATGATTCCATTCTTTTACATTTGATCATGACTCCAATCAATTCCTTTTGATGATTCCATTGGAATCCATTTGATGATTAGTCCATTCGTTTCAATTCCATGATGATTCCATTCGATTCAATTCGATGGTGTTTCCATTTGATTCCATTTGATGTTGATTTCTTTAGATTATATTTTATGATGATTACATTCGAGTCCATTCGATGATGATTCCATTCGAGTCCGTTTGATGATGATTCCATTCGATTTCATTTGATGATTCTATTCAATTCCATTCATTCATGATTCCATCTGATTCCCTTCGATGATTCCATTCGATTCCATTCGATGATGATTCCATTCGAATCCATTCGATGATTCCAAGCGATTCCATTCGATGACTCTGTTCGATCCCATTTGATGAATCCTTTTGATTCCATTCAATGATCATTCCATTTGATTCAATTCGGTGATTCCATTCGATTCTATTAAATTATGATTCCATTTGACTCCATTCAATGATGATTCCATTCAATTCCATGCGATTATGATTTAATTAAATTCCATTCGATTATGATTCTATTCGAGTCCATTCGATGTATACATTCGATTCCATTCCATGATGATTTCACTCAAGTCCACTCGATGATTCCATTCGAGTCCATTCAATGATGCCATTAGATTCCATTCGATCATGATTCCATTGGAAGGCATTCAATGATTCCATTCGATTCCATTCAATGATGATTCCATTTGTGTCCATTCGATGATTCCATTCGATTCCATTTGATGGTCATTCCATTTGAGTCCATTCGATGATTCCATTCAATTTCATTTGATGATGATTTCATTCTAGTCCATTTGATGATTCCATTCGATTCCATTCAATGATGACTGCATTTGGTTCCATCTGATGATGATTTCAATGGATTACATTTGATTTCTCCATTTGATTCCATTCATTGATGATTCCATTCTTTTCCATTAAATGATGATTCCATTAGATTCCATTTGATGATGATTCCAATCGATTCCATTCAATGACAATTCCATTCAATTCCATTCAATGATGATTCCATTCGATTCCATTCGATGGTGATTCCATTAGTGTCTATTCGATGATTCCATTCGATTCCATTCAATGATGATTCCATTCGAGTACATTCAATGATTCCATTCAAGTCCATTCGATGATTCCTTTCGATGCCATTCAATGATGATTCCATTCGAGTGCATTCGATGATTCCATTCGATTCCACCAAAAGATAACTCCATTTGAGTCGATTAGATGATTCCATTTGATTCCATGTGATGATGATTCCATTGAGTCCATTTGATGATACCATTTGATTCCATTTGATGCTGAGTGCATTCAGTTCCATTTGATGATGATTCCAAAGGACTCCATTTGATGACTCCATTCGACTCCATTCATCAATGATTCCATTGGATTCCATTCAATGATGATTCCATTCAATTTCATTCGATGATGATTCCATTCAATCCCATTCGATCATGATTCCATTCGATTCCATTCCATGATGATTCCTATGAATTCCATTCGATGATTCCATTCGCGTCCATTCGATGATTCCATTCGAGTCACTTCATTGATTCCATCCGATACCATTTGACAATGATTCCATTCGAGTCCAATCGATTATTCCATTCAATTCCATTTGATGATTCCATTCAAGTCCATTCGATTATCCATTCGAGTCTATTCGATGATTCCATTTGATTCCATTCGATGATTACTCCATTCGATTCCATTAGATGATTCTGTTCGATTCCATTTGATGATTCCCTTCGATTTCTTTCGATGATGATTCCATTCTATTCCATTCGATGATACCACTCTATTTGATTCAAAGATGATTCCTTTTGATTCCATTTGATGATGATTCCATTCGATTCCATTTGATGATGACTGCCTTCGGTTCAATTCGATGACGATTCCAATGGATTCCATTCGATTTCTCCATTCAATTGAATTCGTTGATGATTCCATTCGATTCCAGTAGATCATAATTCCATTGGATTCCATTCGATGATGAGTAATTTCAATTCCATTCAATGATGATTCCATTCGAATCCATTCGATGATGATTCCATTTGATTTCATTCGATGATTCAATTCGATTCCATTCGATGATGATTCCATTCATCTCCATTCGATTATTCCATTTGATTCCATTCCATGATGATTCCATTCGAGTCCATTCAGTGAGTCCATTCGAGTCCATTTGATGATTCCATTTGATTCCATTCTCCGATGATTACATTCGAGTCCATTTCATGATTCCTCTCGATTCCATATGATGATAATTCCATTCAATTTCATTCGATGATTCCATTCTATTCCATTCAATGACTATTCCATTCGAGTACATTAGATGATTCCATTAGATTCCATTCGATGATGATTCTATTCGTGCCCATTAGATGATTTCATATGATTCCATTTGATAATGATTCCATTCAAGTGCATTTGATGATTCCATTTAATTCCATTCGATGATGATTCCATTCCATTCAACTCCTTGGTGATTCCATTCAATTCCACTCATTGATTACATTCCATGCCATTCGACAATGATTCCATTTGATTCCATTTGATGATTCCACTAGATTCCACTTAACAGTGATTCCCTTCGATTCCATTTGATGATGATTCCATTCGAGTACTTTCGGTGATTCCATTCGATTCCATTCGATGATGATTCCATTCAGGTCCATTCAATCATTGACTTTGATTTCATTCGATGATGATTCCATTCGATTCCATTCGATGATTGCATTCTATTTCATTCGATGATATCCCATTCGAGTCCATTCTATGATTCCATTCGAGTCCATTTAATGAAATCATTGGTTTCAATTCGATGATGATTACATCGAATTCCATTCGTTGATGATTCCATTCTATTCCATTCGATGATGATTCCATTCGATTTCATTTGATCATTCTATCCGATTCCATTTGATGATGATTCAATTCTATTCCATTGGATGATTCCATTCAATTCCATTGGATGATGATTCCATTCGATTCCATTTGATGATGATACCATTCGATTCCATTCGACGATGATTCCATTTGACTCCATTCATTTATGATTCAATTCGATTCCATTCGAATATGATTCCATTTGATTCCATTCGATGATATTTCCATTCGATTGCATTCGGTGATGATTCCAATCGAGTCCATTCGAAGATTCCATTCGATTCCATTTGATGATATTTCCATTCAAGTCCATTCGATGATTACCTTCAATTCCATTCTATGATGATTCCATTCGATGCCATTCTATGATTCCATTTGATTCCGTTCAATGATGATTCCATTCGAGTCCTTTCAATGATTCCATTAGATTAAATTGAATGATGATTCCATTCGATTCCATTCTATTATTCCCTTAGATTCCATTCATTGATGATTCTATTTTATTCCATTCGATGATTCCATTTGTTTCCAATTGAAGATGTTTCCATTCGGGTACATTCGAGGATTCCATTTGATCACATTCAATGATGATTCCATTTGTGTCTATTCGATGATACCATTCTGTTCCATTCGACGATGGTTCCATTCGAGTCCTTTCGATGATTCCATAAGATTCCATTTGATGATGATTCCATTCGATTCCATTTGATGATTCAATTCGATTCCATTTGATGATTCCTTTCATTCCAATTCGATGATTCCTTTCGATTCCATTTGATGATGATTCCATTCAATTCCATTCGATGATGATCACATTGGATTCTATTCGATGATGATTCCACTCATTTCCACTCCATGATGATTCCATTCGTTTCCAGGTGATGACGATTCCATTAGATTCTATTCGATGATTCAATGCTATTCCATTTGTTGAAGATTCCATTCGATTCCATTTGATGATTATTCCATTCGATTACATTCGATGATGATTCCATTCGATTCCATTTGATGATGATTCCATTCGATTTCATTTGATGATTCTATTTGATACCATTTGATGATGATTCCCTTCTATTCCATTCGATGATTCCATTCGATTCCATTCCGTAATGATTCTAATCGATTTCATTTTATGGTTCCATTTGATTGCATTTGATGATGATCCCAATCGTGTCCATTCGATGATTCCACTCGATTCCATTTGATGATGATTCCATACGAGCCCGCTAGATGATTCCATTTGATTCCATTTGATGATGATTCCTTATGATGCCATTCGAAGTTTCCATTAGATTTCATTGGACGATGATTAGATTCGTTTCCATTCGATAATTCCATTGGATGATGATTCCATTCAATGCCATTCGAGAATTCCGTTCAATTCCATTTGAGTATTCCATTCTATTCCATTTGATGATGATTTCATATGAGTCCATTCAATGATTGTTTTAATTCCATTCAATGATGATTACATTCTAGTCCATTCGATGATTCCATTCGATTTCATTTGATGATGATTCCATTCGTTTCCATTCGATGTATCCATTCGATTCCATTCAATGATAATTCCATTCGAGTTCATCGGGTGTTTCCATTCGATTCCATTCGATGATGATTCCTTTAGAGTCCATTCTATGATTTCATTCAATTCCATTTGATGATGATTCCATTTTTTTCCATTCGAGGATTCCATTTGATTCCATTCCTTGACTCTTACTTTTGATTCCATTCGATGATGGTTCCTTTCCATTCCATTCGATGGTGATTCCTTTCAAGTCCATTTGATGATGATTCCATTTGAGTCCACTCGATGATTCCATTCAGTTCTATTTGATGATGATTTCATTGGATTCCTTTCAATGATTCCATTAGATTCCATTCGTTCATGATTCCATTAGATTCCACTTGATGATGATTCCATTCGATTCCGTTCATTGATGATTCCATCAGATTCCATTCAATGATGATTCCATTCGATTCCATTCGGTGATGATTCCATTCGATTTCATTCGATGGTTTCATTTGATTCCATTCAATGATAATTCCATTCATTTCCATTTGATGATTCCATTCAATTCCATACGATGATGATTCCATTTGATTCGATTCGATGATGAGCCATTCGTTTCAATTCCATGATGATTCTATTTGATCCAATTCCATGATGTCTCCATTCGATTCTATTCAATGATGATTCCATTCGATTCCATTCGAAGATGATTCCATTTGAGTCCATTCGATGATGATTCCATTCGAGTCCATTCGATGATGATTCCATTCGATTTCATTCAATGCTTCTATTAGATTCCATTTGATGATGATTCTATCTGATTCCATTCGATGATTACATTCGATTGCACTCAGTGATGATTCCAATCCATTCCATCCAATGTTGATTTCATTTGTTTCCATTTGATGATGATTGGATTCGTGTCCATTCGATGATTCCATCCGAGTCCATTTGATGATTCCTTTCGAGTCCATTTGATGATTCCATTGGACTCATTTGATGACGATTTCATTCAATGACTCCATTCGATTCTATTCGATGGTGATTCCATTAAATTTTGTTCGATGCTGATTCCTTTCAATTCCATTCGATGATTGCAATTGATTCCATTCTGTCATTCCATTCTATTACATTCGACGATGTCTCCATTCAATTCCATTCAATGATTCCATTCGATTCTATTTGATGATGATTCCATTTGATTCCATTCGATGATGACTGCATTCAATTCCATTCAATGATTCCATTTGATTTCATTCAATGAAGATTCTGATTGATCCCATTTGTTGATTCCGTTAGATTTCATTCAATGATTCCATTTGATTCCATTCGATAATGATTCCATTCGATTCCATAGGATGATTGCATTCGATTCCATTCTATGATGATTCCACTTAAGTCCACTCGATGATTCCATTAGAGTCCATTCTATGATTCCATTAGAATGAAATATGATTCCTATTGATGAATCCATTCAATTCCATTCTATGACGATTCCATTCATTTCCATGCGATGATGATTCCATTCGATTCCATTTAATGATTCCTTTCGATTCCATTCACTGATGATTCCAATCAATTCCATCTGATGATTCCATTCAAATCCATTTGATGATGAGTTTATTCGTTTCAATTCCATGAGGATTCCATTCGACTCAATTCGATGGTGTTTCCATTCGATTCCATTAGATGTTGATTCCATTGGATTCCATTGGATGATTATTCCATTCGAGTCCATTCGATGATAATTGCATTCGAGTCCATTCAATGATGATTCCATTCAATTTCATTCGATGATTCTATTTTATTTGATTCGATGGTGATTCCATCTGATTCCATTTGATGATTCCATTCAATTCCATTCGATGATGATTCCATTCATTTCCATCCAATGATGATTCTATTTGATTCCATTTGATGATTATTCCATTCATGTCCATTCAATGATTCCATTCGATACCATTTGATTAGGATTCCATTCAAGTCCATTCAATGATTCCATTTGACTCCATTCAATGATTCTATTCAATTCCATTGGATAATTCCATTCAATTCCATATGATGATTATTCCATTTGAGTCCATTCAATGATTAACACATTCGATTCTATTTGGTGATTCCTTTCAATTCCATTTGATAATGATTCCATTCGAGACCATTTGATACTGATTCCATTTGATTCCATTAGATGATGATTCCATGTGATTCCATTTGATGATGACTCCTTTTGCTTCCATTCACTGATGACTCCATTTGGTTCAATTCCTTGATTATTCCTTTGTATTCCATTTGATGATGTTTCCATTCGACTCCATTTGATGTTGATTCTTTTTTATTCCATTCAATGATTATTTCATTTGACTCCATTCGATGATGATTCCTTTCGAATCCATTCGTTGATTCCATTCAATTCCGTACAATGATTATTCCATTCCAGTCCATTCGACGATTCCATTCAATTCTATACGTTGATTCCATTCGATTCCATACAATGATGTCTCCATTCCAGTCCATTTGACGATTCCATTCAATTCCATACCATGATGATTCCATTCGATTCCATTCGAAGATTCCATTCGATTCCTTTCGAACATTATTCCATTCGAGTCCATTCGGTGATCCCATTCGATGCCAATGGAAAATGATTCCATTCGAGTCCATTCGATGATACCATTCAATACCATTCATTGATGATTCCATTCGAGTGCATTCGATGATACCATTCTATTCCATTTGATGATGATTCCGTTCGATGATTCCAATCGATGTTTCCATTCAATTCCATTCTGTGATGATTCCATTCGAGTCCATTTGATGATTTCTTTGGACTCCATTTGATGAAGATTCCATTCAATGATTCCATTCGATTCTATTCGATGATGATTCCATTAGATTTCATTCGATGCTGATTCTATTCAATTCCATTCGATGATTCAATTTGATTCCATTAGATGATTCCATTTGATTACTTTTGACGATGATTCCATTCGATTCCATTCGATGATGACAGCATTCTATTCCGTTTGATGATTCCATTTGGTTCTACTCGCTGATGATTCTGATTGATTCCATTTGATGATTCCTTTAGATTCCATTCGAAGATTCCGTTTGATTCCATTCAATAATGATTCCATTCAACTCCATTTGATGATTCCATTCGAGCAAATTCGGTAATTCCATTTGAGTCCAATCGATTATTCCAATTGAGTCCATTCGATGGTTCCAATGGAGTCCATTCGAAAATTTCATTTGAGTCCATTTGATGAATACTTTTGATCACATTGAATGATATTCCATTAGAGTCCATTCGATGATTCCATTCAATTCTATTCGATGATGATTCCATTCGTGTCCATTTGGTGATTCCATTCGATTTCATTCAATGATGATTCCTTTTGAGTGAATTAGATGATTCCATTCGATTCCATTTGATGATGATTCCATTCGAGTCCATTCAGTGATTCCATTCGATTCCATTTGATGATTATTCCATTTGATTCCATTCGATTATTCCATTCGATTACATTCAATGATGATTTCATTTGAGTCCATCCGATGATTCCATTTGATTCCATTCGATGATGATTTCATTCGAGTCCATTTGATGATTCCATTTGATTCCATTCTATGATGATTCCATTCGAATCCATTCAATGATTCTATTCGAATCCATTTGATGATTGCTTTTGATATTTGATGATTATTCCATTCGAGTACATTTGATGATTCCATTCGATTGCATTCGTTGGTGATTCCATTCGAGTCCATTTGATGATTCCGTTTGCTTCCATTCTCCGCTGATTACATTCAAGTCCATTCAATGATTCCACTCGATTCCATATGATGTTGATTTCATTCGATTCCATTAGATGATTCCACTCTATTCCATTCAATGACGATTCCATTCGAGTACATTAGATGATTCCATTCGATTCCATTCTATGATGATTCTATTCGTGCCCATTAGATGATTTCACACAATTCCATTCGATAATGATTCCATTCGAGTGCATTTGGTGATTCCATTTGATTCCATTCGATGATGAATCCATTCCATTCAATTCCATTCATTGATTCCATTCCATGTCATTCGACAATGATTCCATTTGATTCCATTCGATGATTCCACTCGATTCCACTTGACAATGATTCCCTTCGATTCCATTTGATGATTCCCTTTGATTCCATTCGATGATGATTGCCTTTGATTCCATTTGATGATTCCATTCGATGATGATTCTGTTCAATTCCATTTGATGATTCCATTCGATTCCATTCGATGATGTTTCTGTTCAATTCTATTTGATGATTCCATTTGATTGTATTCGAGGATTCCATTCCATATCATTCGATGATCATTCCTTTCAATTTCATTCAATGATTTCATTCGATTCCAAAGATGATGATTCCATTCAAAGCTATTCAATTATTCCATTTGATTCCATTCGATGATGCTTCTGTGCGATGCCATTAGATGTTTCCATTCGGTTCCATTCGATGATGATTCCATTCAAGTCCATTCGATGATTCTATTCAATTACACTCGCTGATAATTCCTCTCGATTCCATTCGATGTTTCCTTTTTATTCCATTCCATGATGGTTCCATTTGAGTCCATTCGTTGATTGCTTTCGAGTCTATTCGATGATTCCATTCGATTCCATTTGATGATGATTCCATTTGAGTCCATTCAATAATTCCATCTGATTCCATTCGATGATGACTGCATTCGGTTCCATTCAATGATGATTTGAACAGACTCCATTCAATGACTCCATTCGATTACATTCATTGATGATTCCATTAGATTCCATTCATTGATGATTCCATTCGATTCCATTTGATGATTCCACTTGATTCCATTCGTTGATGATTCCATTCGTGTCCATTTGATGATTCCATTCAAGTCCATTCAATGTTTCCTTTCGATTCCACTCAACGTAGATTCCATTTGAGTCCATTCAATGATTAAATTTGAGTGTGTTCCATGATTTCATTCGATTCCATTCGATGATCATTCTATTAGAGTCCATTCGATTATTCCATTTTATTTCATTCAATGGTGATTGTATTCAATTCCAATCAATGATTCCATTCGAGTCCATTCGATGATTCCATAACATTCCATTCGATGGTGATTCCATTCCATTCCATTCGATGATGATTCCATTTGACTCCCTTCATTGATGATTTGATTAGATTCCATTCGATGATGATTCCATTCGACTCCATTCGATGATGATTCCATTCAATTCCATTTGATGATTCAATTCAATTCCATTCGATGGTTTCATTCGATTCCATTTGATGATGATTCCATTCGATTCCATTCCATGATGATTCCATTTGATTCCATTCAATGTATTCCATTCGATTCCATTCGATAATGATTGCATTTGTGTCCATTCGATGATTCCGTTCGATTCTTTTTGATAATGATTCCATTCGTGTCCATTGGATGATTCCGTTCGATTCTTTTGATGATGATTCCGTTTGATGACATTCAATGATTCCATGCCATTTCATTCGATGATTCCTTTCAATTCCATTCCATGATTCGTTTTGATTCCATTTGATGATGATTCCTTTCGAGTCCATACAATGATTCCATTCAATTCCATTCGATGATGATTCCATTCGGGTTCATTTAATGATTCCATTCAATTCAGTTCGATGATGATTCCATCTGACTACATTCGATGATTCTGTTCCAGTCCATTCGATTATTCCTTTCGATTCCATATGATGATGATTCGATTCGATTCCATTCGATGATTCCATTCAATTCCATTCGATGATGATTCCATTAGAGTCCATTTGATGATTCCATTCGATTCTATTCAATGATGATTCCATTTGAGGCCATTCGATGATTGCATTTGAGTCCATTTGATGATTTCACTTGATTCCACTCGATGATGATTCCTTTTGAGTCCATTCGATGATTCCATTCGAGTCCATTCGATGATTCCATTTGATTGCATTCGATGATGATTCAATTGGAAGCCAATCGGTGATTCCATTGGAGTCCATTTGGTGACTCCTTTCTATTCCATTCGAAGAGGACTCCATTAGAGGCTATTTGATGATTGCATTAGGTTCAATTCATGATGATTCCACTCGAGTCCATTCAATGATTCCATTCGATTCCACTTGATGATGATTCCTTTCGAGTCCATTCAATGATTCCTTTCGAGTGCCTTCAATGATTCCATTCAATTCCATTCGATGGTAATTCCATTCGACTCCATTCAATGATTCCATTCAGTTGCATTCGATGATTACATACGATTTCATTCGATGATGATTCCATTTGAGTCCATTTGATGATTCCATTTGATATCTTTTGAGTATGATTCCATGCGAGTCCATTCGATGATTCTATTCGATTCCATTCCATGATAATTCCATTCGATTCCATTCCATGATTACACCATTGGAGTCCATTCAATGATTCCTTTTGATTCCATTTGATGATTCCATTCGATTCCATTCGATGATGTTTGCATTCAAGTCCATTCAATGATGATTCCATTTGACTGAATTCGATGATTCCAATCGATTTCATCTGATGATTGGAGTCCATTCGGTGATTCCTTTAGATTCCACTCAAAGATGATTCCATTCAATTCCATTCCATGATACCATTCCATTCCATTCATTGATGATTCCATTTGATTCCATTTGATGATTCCATTTTATTCCATTCCATGATGATTCCATTCAATTTCATTTGATGATTCCATTCCATTCTATTCGATGATGATTCCATTCATGTCCATTTGATGATTCCATTCTTTTCCATACATTGATGATTCCATTAGAGTATATTCGATGATTCCATTCGAATCCATTCTATGATGATTATATTCGATTACATTCGATGATTCCATTCGAGTACATTCGATGATTCCACTCGATTCCATTCGATGATTATTCCAATGGAGTCCATTTGGTGATTAATTTAGATTCCACTCGAAGATGATTCCATTTGATTCCATTCGATGATACCATTCGATTCCATTCATTGATGATTCCATTCAAGTGCATTTGATGATACCATTCGATTCCTTTTGATGATGATTCCATTCATTTCCATTCAGTGATTCCATTCGATTCCATTCAATGATGATTCCATTTGTGTCAATTCGATGATTCCATTGGAATCCATTTGATGATGATTCCATTGGAATCCATTTGATGATGATTCCATTCAGTGATTCCATTCAATTCTATTCAATAATGATTCCATTCGATTCCATTCAATGATGATTCCATTGGATTCCATTCTATGATTCCATTTGATTCCATTCGTTGATTCCATTCGATTCTATTTGATGATTATTCCATTTGATTCCATTAGATGATAATTGCATTCAATTCCATTCGATGATTCCGATTGATTCCATTTGATGATTAGATTCGATTCCATTCGATGATTCCATTTGATTCCATTTGATAATGATTCCATTCGAGTCCATTCGATGATTCCATTTGAGCCCATTCGATAATTCCATTTGAGGCCAATCGATGATTCCATTCAAGTCCATTCAATTTCTCCACTTGATTTCATTCGTTGATGATTGCATTCGTTTCCATTAGATGATGATTCCTTTCGATTCCATTCGATGAGGATTCCATTTGATAACATTCAATGATGATTCCATTTGATTCCTTTGATTGATTCCATTCGATTCCTTTGATTGATTCCATTCGATTCCATTTGATGATGATACCATTTGTGTTGATTCTATTATTCCGTTTGATTCCATTAGATGATGATTCCATTCTAATCCATTCAATGATTTCATTCAAGTCCATTTGATGATTCCTTTCAATTCCATTCGATGATGATTCCATTCGATGCTATTTGATGATTCCATTCGATTTCATTCGATGATGATTCCATTTGACTCCATTCAATGATTCCATTCGAGTCCATTCAATTATTTCATTAGATTCCATTTGATGATGATTCCATTCGATGCCATTTGATGATTCCATTTGATTCCATTCAATGATGATACCATTTGAGTTTATTTGATAAAGTCTGCATTCGATTCCATTCGATGATTCCATTTGATTCCATTCGATGATGACTCTTATCCATTCCATTCGATGATTCCATTTGATTCCATTTGATGATTCCATTTGATTCCATTCAAAAATGATTCCATTCGAGTCCATTCGATGATTCCATTCAAGCCCATTCAATGATTCTATTTGAGTCCAATCCATGATTCCATTAGAGTCTATCCGATCATTCCATTTTAGTCCATTTGGTGATGATTCCATTCGAGTCCATTCGATTATTCCATTCTAGTCCATTCCATAATTCCATTTGAGTCCATTCGATGATGCTTTTGATTCCGTTCGATGATATTCCATTTGAGTCCGTTTGATGATTCCATTCGAGTCTATGCAAAGATGATTCCATTCGTGTCCAGTCGGTGATTCCATTAGATTTCATTCGATGATGATTCCTTTCGAGTCCATTCGATGATTCCATTCGAGTCCATGAAATGATGAAATTCAAGTCCATTTGATGATTCCTTTCAATCCCACTTAATGTTTCCATTTGAATAAATTCGATGATTCCATTTGATTCCATTTGATGATGATTCCATTCGTGTCCATTCGATGATTCCATTTGATTTCATTTGATGGTGATTTCATTCGAGTCCATTCGATGATTCCATTTGATTCCATTCGGTGATGATTCCATTCGAGTCCATTTGATGATTCTATTCGAATCCATTTGATGATTGCTTTTGATTATACTTGATGAAGATTCCATTCGATTCCATTTGATGATGATTCCATTCGAATCCCTTTGATGATTCCATTTGATTCCATTCTCTGATGATTACATTTGAGTCCAAACGATGATTCCCGTCAATTTCCTATGATGATGATTCCATTCGATGATTCTATTCTATTGCATTCAATAATGATTCCCTTCGAGTAAATTAGATGATTCCATTCTATTCCATTTGATGATTGTTCTACTCGTGCCCATTAGATGATTCCACACGATTCCATTCCATGATGATTCTATTCGAGTCCATTAGATTATTCCATTCGATTCAATTCGAGAATGATTCCATTCAATTCCATTCATTGGTGATTGCATTCAATTCCATTCATTGATTCCATTCCATTCCATTCGCCAATGATTCCATTCGATTCCATTCTATGATTCCACATGATTCCACTTGACAATGATTCCACTTGACGATGATTCCATTCGATTCCATTCAATGACTCCATTTGATTCCATTCAATGATGATTGCTTTGATTCCATTCGATGATTCCATTCGATTCCATTGGATGATGATTCCGTTCGATTTCATTTGATGTTTCCATTTGATTCTATTTGAGGATTCCATTCGTTTCCATTTGATGATGATTCCATTTGAGTCCATTCGATGATTTCATTTGATTCCATTCAATGATTCAATTCGAGTCCATTTGATGGTTCCATTCAATTCCGTTTGATGATGATTCCATTAGAGTCAGTTCGATGACTCTATTTGAGTCCATTCGATAATTCCATTCGAGTCCATTCGATGATTCCATTCGATTCCATTTGATGATTCCATTCATGTCCGTTTGATCATTACTTTCATATCCATTCGGTGATTCCATTGGATTACTTTTGATGATGTTCCCATTCGATTCCATTTGACAATGATCCCATTCGATTCCATTCGATGATGATTCCATTCGAGTCCATTCAGTGGTTCAAATTGATTTCATTCAATGATGATACCATTCGTGCCTTTTGATGATTCCATTCGAGTCCTTTCGTTGATTCCATCCGATTCCATTTGATGATGATTCCATTCGAGTCCATTCGATGATTGCTTTCGATTTCATTTGTTGATTCAATTGGAGTCTATTTGATTATTCCATTCGAGTCCATTCGATGATGATTCTATTCGTTTCCATTCGATGATTCGGTTCGCTTCCATTTGATGATTCCCTGACATTCCTTTCCATGATGATGCCATTCCATTCCATTCGATGATTCCATTCGATTCTATTCCATGATGATTCCTTTTGATTACATTCGTTGATGATTCCATTCGATTCCATTCAGTGGAGGATTCCATTCAATTCCATTCGATGATGACTGAATTCGGTTCCATTTGATGATGATTCGAATGGATTCCATTTGAGTTCTCCATTTGATTACATTCATTGATGATTCCATTCGCTCTCGATACATTATTATTCCATTAGATACCATTTGATGATAATTCCATTCGACACCATTCGATGACGATTCTATTCGATCCCATTCAATGATGATTCCATTTGATTCCATTCAACTCCATTCGATGATTATTCCATTTGAGTAATTCAGTGTCTCCATTCGATACCATTCAATGATGATTTCATTCTAGTCCATTCATTGATTCCATTCCAGTCCATTTTATTATTCCTTTCAATTCCTTTCAATGATGATTACATTCTAGTCCATTCAATGATTCCATTTTATTCCATTCACTGATGATTCCATTCGAGTGCATTCAATGTTTCCATTTGATTTCATTTGATGATGATGCCATTCTATTGCATTTGATGATTCCATTCTATTCCATTTGATGATGATTCCATTTGAGTCCATTCGATGATTCCATTCGATTCCATTTGATGATGAGTCCACTTAAGTCCATTCGATGATTCCATTCGTGTCCATTCTATGATTCCGTTAGATTCCATTCGATATTGATTCCATTTGATGCCATTCGATGATTCCATTCGATTCCATTCAAGGATGATTCCACTCATGTCCATTCGATGATTGCATTCGATTCCATTTGATGATGATTCAATTCGTGTCCATTCCATGATTCCATTGAATTCCATTCGATGATGATTCCCTTCAAATCCATTCGATGATTGCATTCTATTACCATCAATGATTCCATTCTGTCCCATTCTATGATTCCCTTCAATTCCATTCGATGATCATTCCATTCGATTTAATTCAGTGATTCCATTGGATTCCATTCGATGTTGATTCCATTAGATTCAATTCGATGATGATTCCATTCGGGTCCATTAGATGATTCCATTCGATTCCATTCGAGATGATTCCATTCTATTCCATTCAAAGATGATTCCATTCGGGTCCATTAGATGATTCCATTTGATTCCATTTGATGATGATTCCTTTCAAGTCCATTCAATGATTCTATTAGAGTCCATTGAATGATTGCTTTTGATTCCATTCGATGATGATTCCATTCCATTCCATTCGATGATGATTCCATTTGATACCATTCTATTATTCCTTTGAATTCCATTTGATGTTGATTCCATTCTATTTCATTCGATGATTCTATTCGAATCCATTCAATTAAGATTCCATTCGATTCCATTCGTTGATTCCATTTGATTATATTTGATGATGATTCCATTTGATTCCATTTGATGATTCCCTTCGATTCCATTGCCATTCAATGATGATTCCATTCGAGTCCATTCAATGATTCCTTTTGATTCTATTGGATGATGATTCCATGCAAGTGCATTCAATGGTGATTCCATTGTATTCCATTCAATGATTCCTGTCAATTCCATTCAATGATGATTGCATTCGATTCCATTAGAAGGTTCCATTCAATTCCATTCAAAGATGATTCCATTCCATTCCATTCAATAATTCCATTCGATTCCATCCAATGATTCCAATGGATTCCATTTGATGATGATTCCATTCGTGTCCATTCCATGATTCCATTCAATTCCATTAGATGATTATTCCATTCGAGTGCATTCGATGTTTCCAGTCAATTCCATTCAATGATGATTCCATTTGAGTCCATCCAATGACTTTATTCGATTCCATTCAATAATGATTCCCTTCGAGTCCATTTGATGATTCCATTCGAGTCCTTTTTATGATCCATTCTATTCCATTCGATGATGATTCCGTTTGAGTCCATTCGACACTTCCCTTCGAGTCCATTTGATGATTCCTTTCGAGTCGAATTGATGATTCCATTCACTTCTGTTTTGTGATGTTTCCATATGATTCCATTCGATGATGATTCCATGTGATTCCTTTCGATGATGATTTCTTTTGATTCCATTTGATTATGATTCATTTCCAGTTCATTCAATGATTCCACACGATTCCATTCGATGATGATTCCATTTGAGTCCATTCGATGATTCCTTTTGATTCTATTAGAAGATGATTCCATTTGATTCCGTTCACTGGTGATCCCATTAAATTCCATTCAATGATTCCATTCCATTCCATTCGACAATGATTCCATTTGATTCCATTCGATGATTCCGCTCGATTCCATTTGATGATGATTCCATTCGATTCCATTCGATGGTTCCATTCTATTCTATTCAATGATAATTCCATTCGATTCCATTCGATGATGATTGCCTTCAATTCCATTCGATGATTCCATTCAATTTCATTCGATGATGATTCGGTTTGATTCCATTTGATGATTCCATTCGAGTCCATTCGATGATTCCATTCGAGTCCATTCAAAAATTCCATTCAATTCCTTTCGATGATTCCATTCGATTCTATTTGATGTTTCCATTTGAGTCCATTTGTTCATTCCTTTCGTGTTCATTCGATGATTCCATTCGATTCCATTTGATGATGATCCCATCTGATGATGATTCCATTCGAGTCCATGTGATGATTCCATTTGATTCCATTCCATGATGATTCCATTCGAGTCCATTCGATGGTTCCATTCTATTCCATTCGATGAGGATTCCCTTCAAATCCATTTGATGATTCTATTCAAGTCCATTCAGTGATTGCTTTCAATTCCATTCGATGATGATTCCCTTTTATTCCATGCGATGATGATTCCATTCGATGTCATACTATGATTATATTCGATTCCATTTGATGGTGATTGCATTCGATTCCATTCGATTATTCTATTCGATTTTTTTGATGATGGTTCCATTCGTTTCCATTCAGTGTTTGCTGTTGATTACATTTGACGATGATTCCTTTCGATTCCATTCGATGAGTACATTTGTTTCCTATCGATGATGATTCCATTTGAGTCCATTCGATTATTCCATTTGATTCCACTCAATGATGATTCCATTCGAGTCCATTCAATGGTGATTCCATTCGATTCCATTCCAGGATTCCATTCAATTCCATTCGATGATGATTGCATTTGATTCCATTTGATGATTCCCTTCGATTCCATTCAAAGTTGATTTCTTTCGAGTCCTTTCGATAATTCCATTCGATTTCATTCTCAGATGATTCCATTCGAGTCCGTTCGATGATTCCATTCAATTCCAGTTTACGATGATTCCATTCGAGTCCTTTTGATGATGATTACATTCACGTCCATACGATGATGACTCCTTTTGGTTCCATTCGATGATGATTCCATTCGAGTCCATTCGATGATGATTCCATGTGATTCCATTCGATGATGACTCCTTTCGGTTCCATTCGATGATGATTCCTTTCAGTTCCATTCAAAGATTCAATTCGAGTCCATTCGATGATTCCATTCAATTCCATTCAATGATGATTCCATTCGGGTCCATTCGATGATTCCCTTTGAGTTCATTCCATGATTCCTTTTGATTCCATTCGATGTTGATTCCATTCGAGTCCATTCGATGATTCCATTTGATTTCATTCGATGATGATTTGATTCAATTCTGTTCGATGATTCCATTCAATTCCATTCAATGACGATTCCTTTCGAGCCCATTCCAAGATTCCATTCGAGTCCATTTGATGATTCTATTTGGTTCCATTTGATGATGATTCCTTTGAATTCCATTTGTTGATGGTTCCATTCGATCCCATTCGATGACGATTCCATTCAATTGCACTCGATGATGACTCCATTCGTTTCCATTCGATGATGATTCCATTCGATTTCATTCAATGATTCTATTCAATTCCTTTATGTGATTATTCAATTCTTTTCCATTTGATGATTCCATGTGATTCCATTCGATGATGATTCCATTCGATTCCTTTCGGTGATGATTCCATTCATTTGCATTCGATGATGACTCCATTCGGGTCCATTCAAAGATTGCATTTGATTCCATTCGATGATGATTCCATTCGAGTTCATTTGATGATTCCATTTGACTCCATTTGATGATGATTACATTCGATGTTATTCAATGATTCCATTCGATTCCATTTGCTGATGATTCCATTTGACTCCATTCCATGAATCCATTCGATTCCATTCCTTGATGATTCCCTTCAACTCCATTCAGTGATTCCATCAGATTCCATTCGATGAAGATTCCATGCGAGTCCATTTGATGATTTTATTCGATTCCATTTGATGATGATTACTCTCGAGTCCATTCGATGATTCCATTCGAGTACCTTCAGTTATTCCATTTGATTCTATTCGATGATGATTCCATTCGATGCCATTCGATGATTCCTTTCATTGCCATTCAGTTGTGATTCCATTCGTGTCCATTTGATGATTCCATTCAATCCCATTTGATGATGATTCCAGTCGTGGCCATTCGATGATTCCATTCGATTCCATTCGATGATGATTCCATTGGAATTCATTCGATGATTCCTCTCGATTCCATTCGATGACTCCGTTCATTCCCATTCAATGTTTCCCTTCGATTGCCTTCGATGATCATTCCATTCTATTCAATTTGGTGATTCCATTCGATGATCATTCCATTTGATGATGATTCCATTAGATTCCATTTGATGATGATTCCATTCGCTTCCATTTGATGATGATTCCATTTGAGTCCATTTGATGATTCCTTTCGATTCCATTCTATGATGATTCCAGTCAAGCCCATTTGATTATTCCATTCGAGTCCATTCGATGATTCCATTAGATTCCATTCGATGATGATTCCATTCGATGCCATTCGATGATTCCATTTGATTCCATTCAATGATGATTCCATTCGTGTTCATTCGATGATTTCATTGGTTTCCATTTAATGATGATTCCATTCGAGTCCATTCCATGATTCCATTCAATTCCATTCACTGATGACTCCATCTGAATCCATTCGATGATTCCATTTGATTCCCTTTGATGATTCCCTTTCATCCCATTCGATGATTCCGTTCGATTCCATTCGATGACCTTTCCATTTGATTCAATTCGATGATTCCGTTTGATTTCATTCGATGATGATTCCATTCAATTCCATTTGATGATGATTCCATTCGATTCCATTCGATCAAGAGTCCATTTGATTCCATGTGACGATTTCTCTCTTCGGTTCCATTTAATGGTGATTCAATTCAGTTCCATTTGATGATGATTCCTTTAGATTCCATTCAATGATTCTATTCGTTTACATTTTTTGATGATTCCATTCGATCAAGAGTCCATTTGATTCCATTTGACGATTTCTCTGTTCGGTTCCATTTAATGATGATTCAATTCAGTTCCATTTGATGATGATTCCTTTAGATCCCATTCAATGATTCTATTCGTTTACATTTTTTGATGATTCCATTCGATTCCATTCAATGATGATTCCATTTGATTCCATTTGATGATGGTTACATTCGGTTCCATTTGATGATGATTCCATTCGATTCCATTCAATGATGATTCCATTCGATTCCATTTGATGATGGTTACATTCGGTTCCATTTGATGATGATTCCATTTGATTCCATTCAATGATGATTCCATTCGATTCCATTCGATGATGATTCCATTTGCTTCCATTCAATGATGATTCCATTTGATTCCATTTGATGATGCTTCCTTTCAAGTACATTCGATGATGCTTCCTTTCAAGTCCATTGGATGATGATGCATTTTGATTCCATTCGATGATGACTCCATTCGATTCCATTCGATGATGATTCTGTTTGATTCCATTCGATGATAATTCCATTCTTTTCCATTCGATGATGATTCCATTCCATTCCAGTCGATGATGATTCCATTCGATTCCATTCAATGATGATTCCATTCAATTACATTCGATGATGATTCCATTCGTTTCCATTCAGTGATGATTCCATTTGAGTCCATTCGATGATGATTCCATTGAAGTCCATTGGATGATGATGCCTTTTGATTCCATTCGATGATGACTCCATTCGATTCCATTCGATGATGATTCCATTGATTCCATTAGATGATAATTCCATTCTATTCTATTCAATGATGATTCCACTCCATTCCATTCCACTCCATTCCACTCCTCTCCTCTCCACTCCACTCCACTCCATTGCATTCCATTCCATTCTATTCCACTGCTTTCCATTCCATTCCTTTCTTTCAAGGGTGTCTCTATCTCTGTCACCCATCCTGTAGCACAATGCCACAATCTTATCTCTCCCATTCCATTCTATTCCTCTCCATTCAATTCCATTCAATTGAATTCCATTCCATTCCATTTTATTCCATTCCATTCCATTCCATTCAAAAAAGAAAAAGAGTTGCAAAGTCATACTCACTTTTCTGCTCTTGTCAGACAATTAATTTCTTTTTCTTTTTATCATACATATTGCAGTGCTTATCTAATTTTAAATATATTTTTGTTTCAAAACCCAGTTTCTTATTTGTTCTATCTGAATGTTTGCAATATATTTTACTCTCTGTTCATTCTTGGATTTCAGAACTTCAACCTTTCTGAAGCATATTTTCAGAGTTTCTCTTTAGTTTCTTTAGTGGAATTCTGCTGGTGGCATTTTGTTTTTTATCTCTAAATATGTTATTTAGCCATAGGTTGATGAATATTTTTCTTCGTTTAGAAATTCAGAATGGCATCATCACTGAACGGAAATGAATGGAATCATCGAACGAACTTGAATGGATTAATCGAATGGACTCGAATGGAATTATAGAATGGAATCGAATGGAATCTTCAAATGGACTCAAATGGAATCATCAACAAATGGAATCGGATGGAATCAACGAAGGGACTCGAATGGAGTCATCAAATGGACTCAAATGGAATCATCATTGAATGGAATCAAATAGAATCATCGAATGGACTCGAATGGAATCATCAAATGGACTCGAAAGGTATTATCGAATGGATTCGAATGGAATCATCGAATGGACGCTAATGGAATCATCATCGAATGGAAAAGAATGGAATCATCAAATGGACTCGAAAGGAATCATCGAATGGACTTGAATGGAATCATCAATAGGAGGCTAATGGAATCATCATCGAATGGAATCGAATGGAATCATCGAATGTACGGGAAAGGAGTCATCATCGGATGGAATCGAATGGATTCATCAAATGTACTCAAATGGAATCATCATCGAATGGAATCAAATTGAATCATCGAATTGACTCGAATGGAGTCATCATCAAATGGCATTGAATGGAATCATCAATTCGACTCGAATGGAATCATCAAATGGACTCGAAGGGAAGTGTCGAATGGACTCGAACATAATCATCATCAAATGGAATAGGATGGAATCATCGAAAGGACTCGAATGGAATCATGAAATGGACTCGAAGGGAATCATTATTGGATGGAATCAAATAGAGTCATCAGATGGACTCGAATGGAATCATCATTGAATGGTATTGATTGGAAACATTGAATACACTCGAATGGAATAATCATCTAATGGAATTGAATGGAAGCATGGAATGGACACGAATGGAATCATCATCAAATGGAATCCATTGGTATCATCGAATGGAATTGAATGGAACCATCGAATGGAATTGAATGCAATCATCACTGAATGGAATTGAAAGGAATCATCGAATGGAATCCAATGGAATCACCATTGAATGTACTCGCATGGAATCATCATCAAATAGAATCGAAAGGAATCATCGAATGGACTCGAATAGAATCGTCATCGAATGGGAATGGAATCAAATGGAATCATCAAATGGAATCAAATGGAATCATCATCAAATGTAATCAAATGGAATCATCTAATGGAATCGAATGGAATCATAATTGAATGGATTCAAATAGAATCATCGAATGAAATACAATGGAATCAACATCAAATGGAATTGAAAGGAATCAGAATGGTATCAAATGGAATCATCATCGAATGGAATGGAATGGAATCATCATCGAATGGAATCAAAAGCAATCATTCAATGGACTCTAATAGAATCATCGAATGGACTTGAATGGAATCATCATCAAATGGAGTAGAATGGAATCATCGAATGGACCCGAATGGAATCATGACCGAATGGAATCGAATGGAACCATCAAATGGACCCAAATGGAATCATCATTGAATGGAATAGAATGGAATCATCATCGAATGGATTCAAATGGAATCATCGAATGGAATCATCATCGAATTGAATAGAATGGAATCACCATCGAATGGAATCGAATGGAATCATGTAATGGACATGAATAGAATCATGATCGAATGGAATAAATGGAATCATCTAATGTACCTGAATGGAATCATCGTTGAATGGAATAGAATGGTATCATCAAATGGAATCAAATGGAATCTTTATCATATGGAATCAAGTGCAATCATCAAATGGACTCGAACGTAATAATTGGAGAATGGAATCGAATGGAATCATCGAATGGACTCGAATGGAATTATCATCGAATGGAATAGAATGGAATCATCAAATGGAATCAAATGGAATCTTTATCGTATGGAATCAAGTGCAATCATCGAATGGACTCGAACGTAATAATTGGAGAATGGAATCGAATGGAATCATCGAATGGACTCCAATGGAATCATCATCGAATGGAATCAAATGAATTCGTCTAATGGACCCAAATGGAATCATCATCGAATGGAATCGAATGGACTCATCGAATGGACTCAAATGGAATCATCATCGAATGGAATCGAATGGAATCATCAAATGAATTAGAAAGGAATCATCATTGAGTGAAATCGAATGGAATCATCGAATGGCCTCAAATGGAATCATCATTGAATGGAATCGAATGGAATGATCCAATGGACTTGAATGGAATTGTCATTGAATGGAATCAAAAGGAAACATCGAATGGACATTAATTGAATCATCATCGAATGGATTTGAATGGATTCATCATCAAATGTAATCGAATAGAATCATCATTGAATGGAATCGAATGGAATCATCGAATGGAAGAGAATGGATTTATCTTGGAATGGAATCAAATAGAATCATCGAATGCAATCAAATGGAATCATCATTGAATGGAATTGAATAGAAACATCATCAAATGGAATGGAAAGGAATCATCGAATGGACACCAATGGAACCATCATTGAATGGAATTGAATGGAATCTTTGAATGGACTCAAATGGAATCATCGTTGATTACAATCGAATGGAATCATCATCAAATGGAATTGAAAGGAATCATCATCGAATGGAATTGAATGGAAACTTCAAATGCAATAGAATTGAATCATCATTAAATGGAATCGAATAGAATCATAGAATGAAATGGAATGGAATCATCATTGAATGGAATCAAATGAAATCATAGTCAAATGGAATCAAACGGAATCATCATCAAATGGAACCGAATAGAATCATCAATGAAAGAAATCTAAAGGATTCATCACTGAAAGGAATCGAATGGAATCATCAATGAATGGAAACAAATGGAATCATTGAATGGAATAAAATGTAATCATCATCGAATTGAACCCAATGGAATCATTAAATGTACTCGAATGGAATCATTGATTCGAATCAAATGGAATCACCATCAAATGCAATAGAATGGAATCATCGAATGGAATTGAAAAGAATCATCATTGAATGAAATCAAACGGAATCATCGTATGGACTCGAATGGAATCATCATCGAATGGAATAGAATGGAATCATCGAATGGACTCGAATGAAATCATCATGGAATGGAATCGAATAGAATCATCATCAAATGGAATCAAACTGAATCATCATCAAATGGAATCAAATTGACTCATCGAATGGAATAGAAGGGAATCATCATCGAATGTAATCAAATAGAATCCTCGAATGAAATCAGATGGAATCATCATCAAATGGAATCAAATGAAATCATCATCTAATGGAATTGAATGGAATCATCATTGAGTGGAATCGAATGGAACTGTCAACAAATGTAATCGAATGGAATCATCGAATGGAACCAAATGGAATCATCATTGAATGGAACTGAATGAATCATCATAAAATGGAACCCAACGGAGTCATCATCAAATGGAATTGAATGGAATCATAATCAAATCTAATCGAATGGAATCATCATTGAATGGAATCGAATGGAATCACCAAATTGAAATGAATGGAATGATTATCGAATGGAATAAAAGAGAATCATTGAATGGGATCGAACGGAATCATCGAAGGGAGGCGAAAGGAATCATCAAATGGATTTGAATGGAATAATGATTGAATGGAACTGAATGAGATCATCGAATGGACTCGAATGGAATCATCATCAAATGGAATCGAATGGAATCACTGAATTGAATCAAATGGAATGATCATCGAATGAAATCAAAGGGAATCATCGAATGGGATTGAATGGAGTCATCGAATGCAATCAAGGGGAAACATTGAATGGACTCAAATGGAAACCTCATTGAATGTAATCAAATGGAATCATCTAATGGACCCATATCGAATCATCATGAAATGGAATCGAATGGAATCATCTAATGGACTCATATGGAATCATCATTGAATAGAATTGAATAGAATCATCGAATGGGCTTGAAAGGAATCATCATCAAATGGAATCAAAAGGAATCATCGAATAGAATCGAATGTAATTATTGTCTAATGAAATCGCATTGAATCATCGAATGGACTCGAGTGGAATCATCATCTAATGAAATCGAATGGAGTCATTGACTGGACTCGAATGGAGTCATCATCAAATGTAATGGAATGGAATCATCAAATGGATTAGAATGGAATCATCATCGAATGAAATCGAATGGAATCATTGAATGGAATAGAAGGGAATCATCTTTGAATGGAATCAAATAGAATCATCGAATGAAATCAAATGGAATCATCATTGAATGGAATCGAATGGAATCATCATTGAATGGAATCGAATGGAATCATCATGGAAAGGAATTGAATAGAATCATCATCGAATGTAATGAAATGGAATCATGGAATAGACACGAATGGAATCATCATCAAATGGAATTGAATGGAGTCATGGAACAAACTCGAATGGGATCATCATCAAATGGAATCCATTGGAATCATCAAATGGAATCGAATGGAATTATCGAATGGAATCAAATGGAATCATCTTTGAATAAAATCAAATGGAATCATCGAAGGGAATCTAATGAAATCATCATCAAATGGAATCGAATGGAACCATAGAATGCAGTCGAATGGAATCACAATTTAATGGACTCGAATGGAATCACAATTTAATGGATTCGAATGGAATAATCATTGAATAGAATTTAAAGGAAACATCGAATGGAATCAAATGGAATCATCATCGAATGGAATCGAATGGAATCAACGAATGGAACTGAGTGGAATCATCATCGAATGCAATTGAATGGAATCATCATCGAATGGTACCGTTTGGAATCATCAACGAATGGAGTACAATGGAATCATCATCGAATGGAATCGTCAAATCCCCTCTAATGGAATCATTGAATGGACTCGAATGGAATCATCATTGAATGGAATCAAATGGGATCATCTTGGAATGGAATCAAATGGAATCATTGAATGGAATTGAATGCAATCATCATCGAATGGAATCGAATGGAATCATCCAATGGAATCAAATGGAATCACAATTGAATGCACTCACATGGAATCATCATCGAATAAAATCGAAAGGAATCGTCGAATGGACTCGAATGGAATCAAAAGGAATCATTGAATGGAATCTAATGGAATCATCATCAAATGTAATCAAAAGGAATCATCGAATGGAATCGAATGGAATCATAATAGAATGGATTTGAATAGAATCATTGAATGAAATCAAATGGAATCAACATCAAATGGAATCGAAAGGAATCATAGTATGATATCGAATGGAATCATCATCGAACGGAAAGGAATGGAATCATCATAGAATGGAATCAAAAGCAATCATTTAATGGACTCTAATAGAATCACTGAATGGACTTAAATGGAATCATCATTGAATGGATTAGAATGGAATCATCTAATGGACCCGAGTGGAATCACCATCGAATGGAATAGAATGCCGTCATCATCAAATGGAATCAAATGGAATCATCTAATGGACCCGAATAGAATCATCTTTGAATGGAATAGAATGGAATCATCATCGAATGGAAGCGAATTGAATCATCTAATGGACCCGAATGGAATCATCATCGAATTGAATAGAATGGAATCATCATCGAATGGAATTGAATGCAATCATGTAATGGACATGAATAGAATCATCATCGAATGGAATCAAATGGAATTATCTAATGCCCCCGAATGGAATCATCATCGAATGGGATAGAATGGAATCATCAAATGGAATTCAGTTGAATCTTCATCGTATGGGAATGAGTGCAATCATCGAATGGACTCGAATGGAAACATCATTGAATGGAATCATCTAATGGATCCAAATGGAATCATCATCAGGTGGAATTGAATGGAATCATCTAATGGACTCATATGGAATCATCATCGAGTGGAATCGAATGGAATCATTGAATGGATTCTAATGGAATCATCACCAAATGGAATGGAATGGAATCATCAAACAGATTAGAATGGAATCATCATTGAATGAAATCGAATGGAATCGTCAAATGGCATCAAATGGAATTATCATTGAATGGAATCGAATGGAATGATCTAATGGACTCGAATGGAATCGACATTGAATGGAATCGAATGGAAACATCGAATGGACACGAATGGAATCGTCATCGAATGGAATCATCATCAAATGTAATGAAATACAATCATCATTGAATGGAATCAAATGGAATCATCGAATGGAATAGAATAGACTCATCTTCGAATGGAATCAAATAGAATGATCGAATGCAATCAAACGGAATCATCATTAAATGGAAATGAATGGAATAATCATCAAATGGAAATGAATAGAATCAACATCGAATGGAATGGAATGGAATCATCGAATGGACACCAATGGAACCATCACTGAATGGAATTGAATGGAATATTCGAATGGACACAAACGGAATCATCATCAATTGCTATCGAATTGAATCATGATCGAATGGAATCGAATGGAATCAACATCAAATGGAATCGAATGGAATCCTCGAATGCAATAAAATTGAATTATCACCGAATGGAATTGAATAGAATCATCAAATGAAATGGAATTGAATCATCGTTGAATGGAATCGAATGAAATCATCATCAAATGGAATGGAATGGAATCATCATCGAATGGAAACGAATGGAATCATCAACGAATGAAATCAAAAGGAATCATCATTAAAAGGAGTCGAATGGAATCATCAATCAATGGAAACAAATGGAATCATCGAATGGAATAAAATGTAATCATCATCGAATTGAACCCAATGGAATCATTAAATGGACTCGAATGGAATCATCGATTTAACTCAAATGGAATCATCCTGGAATGGAATAGAATGGAATCATCAAATGTAATTGAATAGAGTCATCATCGAATGAAATAAAATGGAATCATCGAATGGACTCGAATGGAATCATCATCGAATGGAATTGAATAGAATCATCGAATGGACTCGAATGGAATCATCATTGAATGGAATTGAATACAATCATCATCAAATGGAATCGAATAGAATCACCATCAAATGGAATCGAATGGTGTCATCGAATGGAATAGAAGGGAATCATCATAGAATGGAATCAAATGGAATCATCGAATGAAATCAAATGGAATCATCATCGAATGGAATCGAATGGAATCATCATCAAATGGAATCAAATGGAATCATCATCGAATGGAATTGGATGGAATCATCAATGGATGGAATCTAATAGAGTCACCAAATGGAATCTGTTGGAATCATCCTCGAATGGAATCGAATGGAATAATCAAATGGACTCGAATAGAATCATCATGGAATGGAATCGTGTGGAATCATCTAATGGGCATGAGTAGAACAATCATCAAATGGAGTTGAATGGAATCATCTAATTTACTCGAAGGGAATCATTATTGAATGGAATAGAATGGAATCATCAAATGGAATCGAATGGAATCATCATCGTATGGAATTGAGAGGAATCATCATTTGGACTCGAACGTAATCATCAGAGAATGGAATCAAATGGAATCATCAAAGGGATTCGAAAGGAATCATCATCGAATGGGATCAAATGGAATCTTCATCAAGTGTAATCAAAAGCAATCATCAAATGGATTCGAAAAGATTCATCGAATGGACTCGAATGGAATCATCATCGAATGGAATCAAATGGAATCATTGAATGGACACAAATGAAATCACCATCGAATGAAATCACATGGAATCATCAAATGGACTCGAATGGAATCATAATCGAACGGAATCAAATGGAATCATCGAATTTACTCGAATGGAAACATCAAGTTGAATTGAAAGGAATCATCAAATGGACTTGAATTTAATCATTGCATGGACTCGAATGGTACCATCGAATGGACTCGAAAGGAATCATCATGGAATGAAATCTAATGGAATCACCAACTGGACACGAATGGAATCATCTTTGATTAGAATTGAATGGAATCATCAAATGGACTCGAATGGAATATCATCGAATGGAATCAAAAGCATCATCGAATGGACTCAAATGGAATTATGGAATGGACTCAAATGGAAACATCGAATGGACTTGAATGGAACCATCACCGAATGGAGTCAAATGGAATGATCAGATGGACTCTAATGGAATCATGGATTGGACTCAAATACAATTATCGATTAGGCTCAAATGGAATCATCAAATGGACTCAAATGAAATCATTTTTGAATGGAATCAAATGGAATCATCAAATGGAATCAAACGGAATCATCGAATGGAATCAATCAGAGTCATCATCGAATGGAATCAAATGGAATCATCAAATGGAATCGAATGCAGTCATTATCAAATAAACTCAAATAGAATCATCATTGAATGGAATCAAATGGAATCATCAAATGGCATCGAATGGAATCATCATCAAATGGAATCTAATGAAATAATCGAATGGACTCGAATGGAATCATTGAATGGAGTCAAATGGAATCATCATCGAATGAAATCAAATGGAATCATCGAATAGCATCGAATGGAATCATCATCAAATGGAATTGAAAGGAATCATCATCAAATGGAATTGAAAGGAATCATCAAATGGACTTGAATGAAATCATTGAACGGATTCGAATGGAATCATCATCGAATGGAATCAAACGAAATAATAGAATCAACACAAATGGTATCATCATCAAATGGAATCGAATGGAATCAATCAAAGGAATCGAATGGAATCATCATTGAATGTTATCAGATGGAATCATCATCGAATGGAAATGAATGCAATCATCAACGAATGAAATCAAATGGAGAAATCGAATGCACTCGAATGGAATCATCGATTGGCCTCAAATGGAATTATCGAATGGGCTCGAATGGAATCATCGAATGGACTTGAATGCAATCATTATAGAATGGAATCAAATGGAATCATCGAATGGAATCGAATCTAATCGTCGAATGGAATTGATCGGAATCATCGAATGGAATTGAATGCAATCATCACCAAATGGAAACGAATGGAATAATCATCAAATAGAATCGAATGGAATCATCTAATGGAATCGAATGGAATCATTGTCTAATGGAATCAAAAGGAATCATAGAATGGAATCCAATGGAATCATCATCAAATGGAATCGATTGGAATCATTATCAAATACAATTGAAAGGAATCACTGAATGGAAACATCATCAAATGGATTCCAATGGAATCATCGAATTGACCCCAATGGAATCATTGAATGGAAACGAATGGAATCGTCGTCAAATGGAATCGAATGGTATCATCAAATGCACTTGAATGGAATCATCAATAAATGTATTCGAATGGTATCATCAAGCGGAATCGAATTGAATCATCTTCGAGTGGAATCTAAAGGAATCGCCAAATGGACTCCAATGGAATAATCATCGAATGGAATCGAGTGGAATCACCGAATGTACTCGAATGGAATCATCGAATGGAATCGAATATAATCATCATAGAATGGATTTGAATGGAATCATCGAATATACTCGAATGGAATAATCATCGAATGGAAAAGCATGGAATCATCAAATGGACACGAATGGAATCATCATCGAATGGAATGGAATGGAATGGAATCATCAAATGGAATCGAATGGTATCATCATTGAATGGAATAAAATGGAATGATCAAATGGAATTGAATGGAATCATCAATGAATGGAATGGAAAGGTATCATGGAATGGAATTGAATGGAATCATCTTTGAGTGGAATCTAAAGGTATCACCGAATGGACTCCAATCATAGGATGAAATCCATTGGGATAATCAAATTTAGTCGAATGGAATCATCATTGAATGGACTCGAATGCAATCATCATCGAATGGAATCGAATGGAATCATCGAATGGAATCAAAAGGAATCATCAAATGGACTCGAATGAAATTATCATCGAATGGAATCGAATGGAATCATCATGGGATGGAATCATCAAATGGACTCGAATGGAATCATCAAATGGTCTCGAATGGAATCATCATCGAATGAAATCGTATGAAATCATCAAATGCAACTGAATGGAATCATTGAATGGACTCGAATGGAATTATCATCGAATGGAATTGAATGGAATCATTGAAGGCACTAGAAAGGAATCATTGAATGGACTTGAAAGGAATCATCATCAAGTGGAATGAAATTGAATCATTGAATGGACTCGAAATGAATCTTTGAATGGACTCGAATGGAATCATCATTGAATCGAACCTAATGCAATCATCAAATGGCCTGGAATGGAGTCCTCATCAAATGGAATAGAAAGGAGTCACCAAATGGACTCCAATGGAATCATCGATTGGCCTTGAATTGAATCATCATCAAATGCAATCAAATGGAATCATCAAATGGACTCAAATGGAATCATTGAATGGACTCAAAAGGAATCGTCATCGAGTGGAATCAAGTGAAATCATCAAATGGACTCGAATGCAATCATCGAATGGCCTCGAATGGAATCATCACTGAATAGAATCGAATAGAATCATCAAATGGACTCGAATGGAATAATCATCAAATGGAATTGAATAGAATCATCGAATGGAATCAAATGGAATCATCATCATATGAAATCGAAAGGAATAATCGAATGGACTGGAACGGAATCATTGAATGGACTCAAATGGAATCGAATGGAATCATTTAATGGACCCGAATGGAATCATTTAATGGACCCGAATGGAATCATTATCTAATGGAATTGTATGTAATCATCAAATGGACTCGAATGGAATCATCATCAAATGGAATAGAATGGAATCATTGAATGGAATCGCAGGAAATCATTGAATGACATCAAACGGAATCATTATTGATGAGAATCAAATGGAATCACCCAATGGACAAGAATGGAATCACTATCGAATGGAATCAAATGGAGTCATCGAATACAATCGAATGGAATCATCATCAAATGGAAGAGAATGTAAACATCATCGAATGGAATCGAAAGGAATCATTGAATGCACTCGAAAGGAAACATCGAATGGATTCGAAAGGAATCATTATCATGTGGAATCGAATGGAATCATCGAATGGACTCGAATTGAATCTTTGAATGAACTCGAATGGAATCATCATCGAATGGAATCTAATGGAATCATTGAATGGACTCGAATGGAGTCCTCATTGAATGGAATCGAATGGAATCATCTAGTGGACAGAAATCGAATCATCGAATGGACTCAAAAGGAATCATCATCGAGTGGAATCGAATGAAATCAAATGGACTCGAATGCAATCATCGAATGGCCTCGAATGGAATCATCACCAAATAGAATCGAATGAAATCATCAAATGGACACGAATGGAATCATCATCGAATGGAATTGAATGGAATCATCGAACGGAATCAAATGGAATCATCATCAAATGGAATCAAAAGGAATAATCAAATGGACTTCAACGGAAACATCGAATGGACCCTAACTGATTCATCATCGAACCGAATTGAATGGAATCCTTAAATGGACCCTAATGGAATCATCATCGAATGGAATTGAATGGAATCATTGTATGGACTCGAATGGAATCATCGTCAAATGGAACCAAAAAGAATCATGGAATGGAATCGAAAGGAATCATCATCGAATGGAATGGCATGAAATCATGGAACACATACAAATTTAATCATTGAATGGACTCAAATGGAATCAACGTCGAGTGGAATCGAAAGGAAACATCGAGTGGACTTGAATGGAATCATCGAATGGACTCGAATGGAATAATCATCGAATGGAATCGAATGGAATCATTGAATGGACACGAATGGAATCATCATCGAATGGAATCAAGTGGAATCATCGAATGGAATCGAATGGAGTCATCAATGAATGGAATTGAATGGAGTCATCGAATGGAGTCCGTTCGAATCATCATCGAATGGAATCGAATGCAGTCATCATCGAATGGAATCAGATGGAATTATCGAATGGACTCGAATGGAATCATCATCGAAAGGAATCGAATGCAATCATCGAATAGACTTGAAAGCAATCAACGAATGGACATGAATGGAACCATCATTGAATAGAATTAAAAGGAAACATCGAATGGAGTCGAAAGGTATTATCAGAGAGTGGAATCGAATAGAATCATCGAATGGACTCAAATGGAATCATCATCGAATGGAATCTAATGGAAACATCTAATGGCATCACAGAGAAGCATCATCGAATGGAATCAAATGGAATCATTGAATGGCCTTGAATGGAATCATCATCTTTGGAATCGAATGAAATCATTGAATGGAATTGAAAGGAATGATCATCGAATGATATCGAATGGAATCCTTGAATGTAATCAAATGGAATCATCAAATGGAATTGAACAGAATCATCGAATGGAATTGAATGGAATCATCAAATGGAATCGAAGGCAATCATCATTGAATGGAATCAAAGGGAATCATCGAATGGAATCGAAGGGAATCATTATCAAGTGGAATCGAGTGGAATCATCAAATGGAATCAAATGGAAACATTGTCGAATGGCATGGAATGGAATCAATGAATGGAATTGAATGGAATCACCAAGGAATTGAATGGAATGGAATCATCATCGAATGGAATCAAATGAAATCATCGAATGCAGTCGAATGGAATCATTATCGAAAGGAATCGTGTGAAATCATCTAATGGGCACGAATCGTGAACAAAATTAAAGAGTAGCTACACACGCACACACCCACACACAACTGCAATATTGTCAGAAAAACAATGTTCAGCGACACTAGAAATCACACCTGTGTTTTCTCCACAGAAAAGATTGAAAATCACAATAATATTTATGGTACATATGGAGTTAAAGATACTCAAAATATTACCCTAAAATACATTGTTTTTTGAGATGGAGTTTTTCTTTTATTGCGCAGGCTAGAGTACAATGGCACAATCTTGGCTTACTGCAACCTCAGCCCCCCAGGGTCAAGTAATTCTCCTAGCTCAGCCTCCCAAGTTGCTGAGATTACAGTCATGCACCAACACACTCAGCTAATTTTTTGTATTTAGTAGAGATGGGGTTTCACCATGTTGGTCAGGCTGGTCTCCAACTCTTGACTTCAGGTGATCTACCCAATTCAGCCACCCAAAGTGTTGGGATTAGAGGCGTGCGCCTGGCCAGCTTTTTGACATACTTCAAGATGGCTACTCAGAAGACTGGAGATAACTTCTTCTACAAGAATAGGTGAAAAGCTGTGTTTGTTAGAGATTTGCATTTGTAGAGAAAATCTGCATTGATATAAACAGGCTTTCCCTGAGATACTCCCTTGTCTGGGTTTAGGAAAGATTAACTGAACCTGGCACGTTTACATTTCTAAACACCATTTCCTATCTATACTTCCCAAGAGGAGGGCTGCTCCCTGTGAGGTTTCATCCATGTAACAAGACCACCTCTGCTGCCAGGCTCCTCTTTCTTCCTTGTCGTCACCTGTCTCCCACAAAGCCTGATTTACCAACCTACAGCTCTGTGTTTTTTGTAACATCAAGAAAGCAGAGGCGTTTTGACTAACTTGCCTTTCCTGGGATTTTTATATATATAGTATATATTTGTATATCTATTTATAATATACAAATGTTTGTATAGATATATTTATATATATTATGTAAACTCCAAGTGCATACTTGTGCACATATGTGTAAACCTTTTTTTCCTGTTAATTTGTACATTATCAGTTTGTTTTATAGACTCAAATAATTAAAGCTTCAAGGGAGAAATTTAAACTTTCCTATAGAGAAAAGACAAATATGTAGGTGACAAATAATATTAAGAGTGTAAGACGCTTTTTAAAGGTATATTTGCAATTTGTGTCAAAACATTTAAGTATACATTTGTTATTTTAACTATAAAATTTCAAATAATTTAAGGCAAATACATAGTATATGCAGAAAATTTAGCAATATATCTATGTAGCACCTTACTGTGCCTTACTGTAACCAGCCGTCTAATAAAAAGAATTAATTAAGGTAGCAGGTACTTTTCAAATAGCGCATTTTTTTTCACAGACCTATTAAGTAAGACAAATAACATTTAAACTTTATTTTTAAATTTGCAGAATAGTAGTTTTCAGCAGATGGTTTATTGTAGCAAATTCTATCTTCACATTGTGCTATGCTTTTATGAGTTTCAGCTGTTAACAGATCATATTTTACTGCTGAAACTATCATGTGTGATATAATTGCTCATTATGTGTCTTAAAACACAAGCAATATAATTATTTTCAACTTGGAGCAAATTAAAATCTTATCAGCATTTTAAAACTCTAGAGTCATCTTCTTCTGGTTAATTATTTTAAACTTGTATTTTTCTCTTTATGTTTTCAGTGAGTTGTCTTATCAAGGAGAAGAACTCAAGCTGATTATTCTTTTTTCTCTCTTCCATCCACCTCGCAGACGTGTTAATAATTTCATTTCTCAGAAAATGTTCTTTCATATCCATCTTACAAGATGAGAGACCTTTTAACATCTTCCATTCGGATGTGATACCAGTAATGGAAAATATTCCAGCTTCATGAATATGGTGATACAAATAGTTATCCGTCTATCCTCTATCAGTACCAAATGTTTACTTTACTCAGTGAATTACTCAGTTGACTGGTAATTTCTTCTGAAATCACTAATGAGATGATCAGAGGTCTGGCTGTTTCTATACCTCATATGACTCCCAGTGCAGACAATTGTTTTTATGGAGCACAGACAGTTGAAAGGGTTGACTTCCTGCCTAGAATAGTTTCTGCTGTGCTTCTTATCCTTCTTGTGGAGATTTCAGATTATCTGAATTGCTTTTCTATCTTAAGAAAAAACGCAACAATTCTTCCACCTGAGAGGAATGTAAACTGTAGTAAGTTAGCAGAACCAATCCGTAAAGTTTTTACATTGTTTGTTGCAAAATGCAGCGCTGGTGTCTCCATCACTAAACTTTGCTATCCCTCATTGCCCTTTCTTTGACTGCAATAGGATACCTCTAGGCAAATCTGTATTCCCGAGACAGAGTGCCCTTTTGGTGAGCTATAAACACACTCAATGGTAGGCTGGAATACTAGCTTTTATCTATGGCGAAATGGAATCATATCAGTGATTTTATTAAAAAGGAAATTTAACTCTTGCTACGGTTTGAATGCTTTCCCCTTCTAATCTCATGTTAAAATTTGATCCCCAATGTTGCAGGTGGGGCTCACTGGGAGGTGTTTCGTCATGGGGTTGGATCTTCATGAATGGATAATACCCTCCCTTAGAAATCTAAAGCTATCCTCCATCCACGGTGCCCTCAGGAATGAGTGTACCATTCTTTATTCACCTATAATTCCCCCACCCATCCATTTTGAGATATTGATTACATGTATGTTACAATGCTGCATATTGTCTGACATATCAGTGAGTTTCTGGCTTTCTTATTTTAGTTTACTCTTTGTCCTTTAGTTTGTAAAGCTTCTATTTTGTTCTATAAATTTTCTGATGTTAGGGTAAAATCCATTGCTTATTCTATCTCATGGAAATTTTATTTCAAACATTCATTTTTCATCTATACATGTCACATTTTTCATTTTATAACTTCTATTTTTCTATGTTCATTTTTCATTTAAGTACCTTGACATACATATGTATTTATCTATATGTATTTATGAAATATATTTACTTTAAGGACCTAGAAATTTCCTTCTTTTCTGTCATTTATAAATGACTTATTTTTATCCGTTAATATATATCTTAATTATATATATCTTACGGCTTCTTTGCATGTCAGAGTTTTTTTTTGGGTATGTTGATGTTATGCTATTGAATATCTAGATTTTATTGGCTACCTTTGAACAACGTTGTGGCAGGCAGTTCAGTAACTTCAGGATGAGTATTTGTCTGTTGTTTTAAATCTTCTCTTTAAACTTTGTGGAGTTAGTCTAGAGCCATCTGTAATTTGGAGCTAAATGAGCACTGTCACTAGGGCATGAACCTCCAGTGGTCATTACTGAATATCCTGGAGATACAGAGGGGATTGCCTTCTCTGATTAGAATTTGGAATATAAAGAGAAAAGAGAAAAATAGAAAGCTATGCATAAACACGTGCATTAAAATGAATTTTATGTGGGCTTTTTCATGAAAATGTTCCTAAGGTAATTTATTTTTTTATTGTGGTAAAATACACACAACATAAAATGTACTCTGTTAACCATTTTAAGTGTACAGTTCAGTTGTACTAAATATAGTCATAACATTGTGCAGCCCTCCCTACCATCCATCTCCATAATTCGTTTCATCTTGTAAAACTGAAACTCTATACCCATTAAACAATACTTCCCCAATTCTTCCTCCCCACAGCTTCTGACAACCATCATTGTACCATCTCTATAATGCTAATCAAGCATAGTGGCTGTGTTTCTTTCTTCCTCTAGTCCGCAGGTAGCATACAAATGTAATAAACTACTTATTCATGTCACATCTATTTATTTTCTGCCTTATACCAAGCTCGTGGGATTCTCTTAAATACAACATTTTTCTACTTACACCTATGCAATACCCATTAGCATCGCCTTCCTAACTCAGGGGAAATTGAGCCTCTGTAAAGTGGAGTAACTTCCTAAGATATAAAACTCAGCATTGAAGTCTGTATACTTCAATATCTTGCCCTCTTCTGATTTGTCTTTACTGCCTTTTATGGATATGTTAGATGTTCAATAAATTCTCTTTTTAAACTGAATTTAAGCAGTGGAGCAGTGTTTTGTTGAACAATAAATATGATATAGGACACTCTTCCTCCCTTTCATTTATGATCCTGTTCATGAAAAAGAGAAATTCTTTCATTGTGGTAGAAGCTTAAAATAATGAAAATGTCACTTTCTACATTAAACAGAAACTGAAGGGAGTCAAGGTGAATTGCATGAGACATAGAAAACAAGTGAGAAAGAAATGTAGTATAATTTGTCCTTTGTGTACCTTTATTATTTAGTGTTTGAGTAAATGATTCCCCCAAATATCTTCCCATCTTAATTCATGTCTATAAAGTAGACATTTATGTCTCACCTTGTCAAGAAGGGCAAACTCTAACATAAACATTTCCCAAAAATGCTTCCTGCGAAAACGTAAGCTCAGTCTAACTAGAAATGCAGCTCTCTTCATAAAGATTAATTCGTAGCTAATTTTGCATGCTGTTCTCTGAACTTGAGTGAAACCTTTCCATCAGGCATACAGGGAATGACAGAAAAGGTGACAACAGAAGATGAATGCTATGTCACTAACCTTCAAAGACGACCTGCCTTTTCTTTCAAATTCTTGATATCTTAAGACTTCATTAATTCATCTCTCTTTGCCCTTGGTTCAACATTGTGCTATACCAAAACTCATGTGAAACAATGATCTAATGTAATGAAAATGGCATTTTTCTTTCATGTAGTTGCAAGCTATCTGGCATTTTTACAATCCACATATTTCCTTTGTCAGTTTTTCATTCTGTATTGGAAGTAATTGACAGGTATTTCTGAAGGGATGAAGGTGTTTCTGTGTTCATTGTGATACAAATTATTTTTAGACCTAGGGGCGTTTGGAAAACAATTTGTGCCAGCTCTCCAAGGATCACTGTGGCAGAAAGCAGCAAACTTGCATAAGATGGCACTGCCTCATAAGTTGACTTTGAAAACTAGGGGTTTACTCTATAGTCTTATGAATCAAAGACATTGATAGATGTAGTATAAGATTACAATCATACTTTCCTTTTGACAGTCACATTATAAAGCATGATGTATTGCAATTAATCTCAATTAGCTGATCACAATTAAAATTAATAATGTTTATTATTGCTGATAAACAATCATGACTCTCCTGTTCTCAAATGTGCAAGGAATTCTTGCAATTTTAATACAAATTTGCATATTATTATTAATTGATTTAATCTCATTGGATTTGGTTCATGGATCCAATTTATTAAAATATTGATAATGAGATAATGATATGTCTCCCCATTTCATGTACACTAAAAACAATTCTTACAATGGTCTGCAAGCCCATCATGATCTGCCGCATGCTAACCACCAAAATTCTTTTATATCTTCACCCTTGATCTTACCAGTGGTCCTGGCCACCTCACTGTCCTCTGGACATGCCAACATGCTGCTGCCTTATGAGCAAGACTCTAGTTAATTTCTTGGCTTGGAAAGATAGCCCTCCATATATCCATTCATCAGCTCATTCAACTTCCTCAAGTCTTTACTGAAACTTCACATTCTGGATGAGGCCTATTCAGTATTTCAAACTGCCTCCCAGCTGCAATATTCCAAAACCCCTTACTCTTCTGTGTATTTTTGAAAGGATTTATTGAGATAAAATTTACGTAGTGTAGAGTGCACACGTTAACGTCTATAAGTCAGTGGCTTTTAGTATATGCACAGATAAGTGGAGCCATCATCACAATGAATTTTAGAGCATTTTCATCACTTCGAAAAGAAACCCCACCTTCTCTAGCTGTTAATCTCCTATTCACCCATCCCCTACTCAATCCTAAGCAACCACAAATCTGTTTTCTGTCTCTATAGATTTTCCTATTCTGTTTTCATCTAAATAGAATCATACAATAGGTGGCCTTTTCTGCCTGGCTTCTTTCAGCGGCATAATGCTATCAAGGTTCATGTACGTATTGGTACTTTATTTCTTTTTATAACTGTATAACATTCAATTTCATGGATATAACATTTTGTTTATCCAATAATATTTTTATTGACATTTGAGTTGTGTTCAGCCTTTGGCTATTTTAAATACTGCTGCTAAAAATACTTGTGTACAATTTGTGTTTGAACACCTCTTTCCAATAATCTGGGTGTATACCTAGGAATAAATTTCTGGGTCATATGACAATTCTATGTTTCACATATTTAGAAGCCATCAAATTATTTTCCAAAGTGGCCAGTTCTAGCCATAGAGTATCTAACTGTGGTTTTGATTTGTAGTTTCCTGATGAGTGATGCTATTGGGTATGTTTTTATGGGATTATTGACCGTTCGTGTGTCTTCTTGGGAAACACATCTATTCCTATCATTTATCAGTTTTGAGTTGGGATATTTGTTACTGAGTTAAAACAATTTTTCTATATTCAAGATATATATACAGACATATAGATACGTGTTTTTCAATTATCTTCTCACAATTTTTGAGCTGCCTCTTGACTTGCTTGGTTGTCCTTTGAAACACCAATGTCTTTAATTTTTAAGAAATTTTAAATATCTAATTTTTATTTTGTTGCTCATGTTTTTGGTGTTACAGCTATTTCTTTGCTAGATCCAAAATCCTGAAGATTTTCGCATATGCTTTATTCTAGCTCTTGCATGTGTGTCTTTAATTCTTTTGAATTAATATTATTGTATGCTTTGGGGTAAGGATTCGAATTTATTATTTTGCAAGTGGTGACCCACGTGTACGTTGTTGACCTAGTTTGTCCAAAAACTGTCTATTCCGCATTGAATTGCACATGGAACCACTGTAAGAATCCATTGACTATGGACACATAGATTTATATATGGACTCTCGATTCTCTTCCATCAATCTCTATATTTTTCCTTCATCAGTATTGTGTTGTCTTGATTACTGATACTTTGCTGTAAGGTTTGGAGAATGGGGGTGTGAATTATCCTAATATGTTTTCTTTTTTCAAGATTATTTTGGCTATTTTGAGTCCCTTACATTTCCATGTGTATTTTAGAATCAGCTTGTCAGTTTCTAGACAGAAGTCTGTTGGGATACCTGCAGGGATTTCATCAAAACTGTAGTTCAAATTGTAAAGTACTACAATATTAAATCTTCCAATTCATGGGTGGAAGATGTTTGCTAATTATTTAGATATTCTTTAAACAATAATTTTTAATTTTCAGAGTAAAATCTTGTATCACATTTTCCAAATTAATTATTATTTCTTTTTTTGATGCTATTTTAAATTGAAGTGTTTTCTTAATTTCGTTTAGGGGTTTTCATTGTAGATGTGTGCAATTGATTTTTGTACATTTATCTTGTATGCTGTAATATTGCTGAAATAATTTACTAGTTCTATCGTTCAGTGGATTCCTTAAAATTTTCTATATACAAGAATGTTATTTTCAAATCAAGTTTTATTTCTTCCTGTTCAATATGGGTGACTCTTATTTTTTTAGTTGCCGATTTGCCCTGCATAAAATCTTTAGTACAGTGTTGACTAGAAGAGGTCAAATTATATATCCTATTCTTATCTCTGACCATAGCGGGAAAGCATCCTTTACCATTAAGTTGCATGCTTGCTGTTGGCTTTTCACAGGTGCCATATATCTGGTGTAGAAAGTTCTCTATTCCTGGTTCATTGAGTTTTTATTTTTAATCATTAAAGCATTTGGATTTTGTTAAATGTCTTTTCCGAATCTATCGAGATGATCATGCAATTCTCGTTTCTTATTCTATGGATAAGATGTATTATCTTAATGGATTTTGGGCTGTTAAACCAACCTGGGATTACTTGTATAAAGTTGCCTTTGTCATAGTGTGTAATTCTTTTATATGTTGCTAGATCTGATTTGTTAGTATTTTTTAAGGAATTTTGCATTTATAATTAGAGTAGTTTTTTTTCTATACTATTTGGACTAATTTAAGTATCAAGGTAACACTGGCCCCACAGAATAAATTAGGAAGTGAATATTTCTCTTTTTTAAAAAAGCTAGTCAAGAATTAATATCAATTATTCAACACTAACAAATATTATTATTATAAATTATTAATTTCTCTAATTTTTATTTTCTTCCTTCTGCTTGCTTTAGGTTTAGTTTGCTAAACTTTCCAGTGCCTTAATGTGGAAGGTCATCTTACCTCATCCTATCATTTGTCTTTTCATTTTCTAAATAGTGTCTTTTTAGCATCAGGTGAGCTCCCCAGGTTGGTAGTACTCCATATTTATTGCTGTACAAAAATGACAGGTAATATGTCCTGAAGACAACGGAAACTTAACATTCTAAATCTCCTAGATTCCACCTTATTTGATATGTCTCTTCAGTTGGTCCTAATTTCTACCCTTTCTCTATTATAAACCATGAGTACAATGGCATTCAATGAGTTCTGTGAGTCTTTCTAGTAAATTCTAGAATCTGAGGGTGTTCAGGGGAAACCCCTGAACTGGCATTTGTTGTCAGAAGTGAGAATCTTCTTACATGGTCTCTTCCTTTGAACTGTGCAGCTGGACGCAAACTCTGCACAATTTGGCCCAGAAGTCTCTTGTTGACTTTGCAGCCTAAAGTATCTTGTAGTTTGTCTAACCCTTAATAAATTTGCTTTCATCAAATATTGTATTTGTTACCCCAAAATTACCATCACGTTTCTTTTTTCTCCAAATAACTAACATTGGGAGAAATAGCCAGCTGAGTCTGTAACTCAAAAGAAACAAGTGGTCCATATACCATATACCATATAAGTGGCCATTTCATTTTGCCTTCTTCCACCAAATCTTAGCAACCTCAACCATTGCCATGAGCCACTGTAGGCCTACCAGCTACAAACAAACAAGTATCTTTAAAAACACTTCATACTCCCATTAGATAAATTTCCCAGCAAAGAGATGCCTACTTTAACTCTATGCAAGTGGCTCATATTCACGAAGTTTGTAGATATTATTCATGTAGTGTGAGAAAATCATCCCAGCGATGCCAGCACATTCTCCTTCCCATGATCTGCTTAGTTTGCAAACATATTCAGGCCATGGGTGAGAGATTTGTATTTCACAGTAAAACAATTTTATGGAGGGCATTGAAACTTACATTGAGCATTTTTGTACAGTCACACATCACTGAATGATAGGGATACGTTCTAACAGATGTATCCATAGGCAATTTCATCATTTTGCAAACATCACAGAGAACATTACAAACATCTAGATTGTACAGCCTACCACGTGTAGCTTATATGGTATAGCATCTCTCCCCCAGGCTATAAACCTGTGTACTACATTACTGTACTGAATACTGCAGGCAATAAGAACACAGTGGTAAAAGGTTATGTATCTAAACATACTTAAACGTAGAAAGCATGTAAAAATATCTATTATAAACTCATGGGACCACTTTTGTATATGTAATCCATCTTTGACTAAAATGTTATTATGCATGACATGACTCTATGACAAAAATAAAATAACACATTATAAAAAATGTACACAGGTATCAAACATATTAATATTGTAAAAATAAAAATATTTATTCAATGTAAGAATTTGTAATGATCACAAAATATTCACAGCTTATATTTTAGTACAGTTTCAAATACCTAGTGCAATTACTATTTATTTCTGTGTGTATTTTAAACATGTATATAATAAATATTTTACAGGTTCAACAATATACATCAATCCAACTGGCTCTTATAAATATTAGTTAAAATCAATTAGTAAATTCATATATATATACACACGTGAATCAGTCTGTATGCATGTATGTGTGTGTAAATGTAACTGTATGTGTGTGTAAATGTAACTGGATGCATCCTAATATTCAACCTTACCTACAAGATTTCCAAGATTCATTTATTATCTTTAAACGGTGTGCATTTAAAGATTTACCAAATAAAACCGCAATCGTGGAAAATATCAAGATGTTATTAAATTCATCTTGTGCACATAATTGTTTCTTTAAATTTATGTTTCTTACAAAACTTGCGGTAATGCTCATGCACAAAATAATTTTCTAAATAAAAAATGAAAACATTTTCTCAGTCATTAATGCTTAATAATTATTTCTCCCCAATAATTAATGTGAATTAATTCTTAATTCTTAATTATAGAATAACGTTGCCCTTTAGAGTTCTGAGTCTTTTGCATGTTGTATACATTTCACTAACTAGAACAACTTCTGGAATATTGGCATTAATTAATGTCACTCAGCAATTAATGATTTCAAAGAAATTAAATACCATTCATATTCTGAATCACAAGGGTACTTTGGCATCTAATTTAATCAAGCTCTTTGTATCATCATCTACACTTTAATTACTAAACAAACATTTCTCTGTGTGAGAAAGATTGAGCAGGTTATTGTGCTTTTTTACGATGCAACTTTTGCTTAATCTAGAGATAGGCAATGCTCCCTATAGGGGACAAAGAGAAAAATGAAAGAGCAATAGAGATGTGACAGGCATGGAAAAAGACAATACATTTATAATGCAAATAGGGCCACAGATGATGATAATGGGGATCAAATCTTGAGATACTGACTCAGCTTATAACCGCAATGTACAATAGAGCAAATCATTTGTTAATTATTTTACAAATGGAATCTAATATAATTAAGATGAATACAGTGTTTTAAACAAGGCAGGTCATCTTAAAATAAAATAGTGGAATAAAGTGATAAAACCAATGTAAAAATCATAAACATTTTATAAAGAATTTTTGTCATGTAATTTAATATTATTGTTCGTTTAAAATCACCCAAATCAAAATAATTTTATCTTAATTAACAAATAATCATCAGAAGTTAACTAATTTTTACTTTATAATACTAGGTTTAAAAATTCTTCTCTATATTTTTAATCATACATGCTTATACATAAAATAGACATAGGGTATATGTTTACATGTTCACAATATTATATTGTAATTGTTCCTATGGATGTGGTTTTTCAATAGAATTAATAAATACTTTTAAAAAGTTTCAATTTCAGTGATATATATGTTTGATTTTTCTTTGACACAGCATACATATATTGACAGGTAATAATAAGAAAATCTTCTAAAGACATTACAGGAACATGAATAAGTAATTAAATCCTCAATAATTTGTAATGTTTTATGTAAGCGGAACACATTTAACTGAAAATTGCTTTTATATAATACTCAAACGAGACTAAAAACATATTAACTAGCGGAGTAAGTCTTCAAATTGATAATCTGAGCTATATAAGAGGAGAAACTTCAAACACTCAAATATTTGAAATGCTACAAAATATTTATATAAACTATTATTTAACAATTTCTGTTTGTAGAATGCTATACAGTAATCAGTATAAATGACATCTCAGTCTTTCTATAGCTTTGACCACATTTACCTCCTAATTTAAATTATTAATATGTTGGAGCAGTGCATACAACTAGATTCCGATCTTTCTTTTTAATGAGTAAAAATATGTCACTTGAGACAGCATTAAAGAAAGAGCACCTTGCATAAATTCAATGCCAAGAGACAAGATATTCTTGATTCTGAAGTCTTGTTCTTTTATACAGCAATGTAATTAATAAGAAGAAAAACAAGAATAGAAGTGGAGCCTATTTTAATAAAAAATTGTCTATAGATTTTGATGATAAAATTTAAAAATCTACCATATTTAGTTACAAAAAATTAGGTTGTGGGAACATATTTGGTCAATAAAACACCCCTACCAAATGCTGACAAGAAAAAAAGTTAGGTACCACCTTTCTTCTCTGCAGTTGGCCTGAGATGGGTTAATTTGAAAGAATGCTTCCAAACCTGAGGTGAACCCTGAGAACAGCATAATCCACTGCTCTCTCCCACATTCAGTTTCTCAGTCTGTGCTCTTTTAATTTTGGGGGAAGGGAAGCCAGTCCTTTAAAGCGATCTTCAGCATGATGGCAGAGCCAAGGAGTGTGGACAGGTGACACGGTGTCTGACTTTGTTCCAGCAGCCACTTAGGCTTTCTCTGGGTCGTCTCTGCCCTAGGGATAGCACTACTATTGAAAACATGTCTTTTAAAAAAAAGCTGCAAATTAACAAGTTAAGTACATATATATTTAAGTTAAAAAAGAAATGGTTATTAATGTATCAATATTTTGTGAACAAAATTTACAAACTATTTGGGATATAAATATAATAATGTCCTTATTCTGTGTAGACACCTAGATTTAGCTATGCCTACCATTTGTTTAGTAAGTACTATGTATCAGACTTGGTGCTGAGATAAAACTTCTATAAATATAATCATTTCAAAGCTATAAATTTCCCTCCAAGTAAGGCTTAAGAGACATCCTATGAGTTTTGCTTAATTATAATTTTCTTCTGATTCCCACTGTGATTTCCCTTGGACCATGAGTTAAAGTGTTCCTAAATTCTAAATACACATGATTTATGTAACTTCTTTGTTACTGATTTTTAAATCTAATTGCATTGTAGGTGGAGAATGTGATCTATAGTAGCCATCTTTTGAACTTTGTTGAGGATTGATTTATGGCCTTTTATGAAGTAAATATTCATAAATTTTTAGTGTGTGCTTGAAAAAATATGAATTTCTCCATTTGGGGATGTAGTGTTCTAGGTATGTTCATCACATCAGGTATGTTAGTTACGTTGTTTAAACTTCTATATCTTAACTGATTTTTTGCCTGCTTGATTTAAAAATTATGAAGAAATATGTTTAAGTCTTCTATTCTGATGGTAGATCTCTCTGGTTCTTCTTGTCATTATTTGCATTTTTTGTTTTATGTATTTTGAGACTATGTGACTGGGTGAATATTGATTAAAAGTAATCTGTTATTGGTGAACAAATTCCTTTTATTATTGTTTAGTGACCTTTTATCTCTTGTACATTTTTTTGCTCTATTAAAGTTTATTTTACCTAATATTAAAAAAAAAAAAAAAAAGAAAAGAAAACATGTCTTTGTGACATTCTCTATGCCAGGAACTCCCAACATATTTTCCTTGAAACTGATGAAATGAATAAAAATAAACCAAGAGGTGTGCTGTTTGTTTCTGTTTCCTCCTTTCTGCAGCCCTTCTTGATCATCTAATATTTTTAAATACATTGTTGATCAACAAAAGGAGCATAAGGGCTTTATTGGTTTGTAGTAGATGTATTAATAGCCCAGCCCCTATTCCTTACCTGTAGCTGCTGGGTGGAAAACCATTCTTAACACTCTACAAGGTCTCATCTCCAGAATTTGCACCAGTTTCTAGCTGAGGACTTTCTCTAACAGCACGGGACCTTGTTACTGGGCATGAAGTGGGAAGAAAAGGTGAGGGTAACTAAGAAGAATCTCCCTGGATTCAGTGATGTAATTCTGAGGCATGCTCCACATAGCTTCCCATAAAATTAAGCCCAGATATCTAACACAGGAACTTACCTCTTAACACGTGTGGTATTGGCTTTTCTATCTTTCCTGTTTTATTTTGTCCTCTTTTCTTTGTCTCACTTTCGCTGTGTCCTCACTCCTGCTTTAAGAATACCCAAACAAATACGTTCATTTATTTTTTTACACTCTCAGAACTCAGTTGATAGTTGAACTTCTAATCTATGATAATCAGCTTGGATGCTATACTGACAGGAAGATGGTGAACTCATAATGTCTAATTAAGATACAATTTAAAAAATATATTGAATCATGTCCAAATATTTAAAAATCCTTAGCGGCAGTGTCACAATTTCTTCTTTTTAGTTTACATGGTTTCTTAAATGCCTACAATTATTTTAAAGGAAGCCTTGAGTCTAGGAAAAATTGAGACATATGGAATAAATTACTAACCCATTTCTCCTTGAAATCAACTAGATGTTTGATGATTTTTCACATGTAATTCTGAATTGAAAAGCTAGTTGGGAATTATTTTTATAAGCATATCCTTATGTAATATTTTGTTTCTAACAGTGAATTGAAAGTTTAAAGATTAAATTATTCTATCCAGAGAATAAAAAGCAATTATTTCCCAAGGAGAACATGTGTATGTTGAAACGACATTTTAAAATCTAGATTTTAAAATAGGTCCCATATAATTTTGAGTCAATTAGAATATGTTTGCATTAGTCTGTCTACAGTTCTACACCTGTCAAAAAGTACTTGAACTAAAAGAAGTACCTTGAACAATTTTGAAATTTATTGTTCCTCTGAAACTGATTAAAAGAATTATGGTAGTGTGAAATTCTGATTGGCATAATTTGGGAGAGAAATTAGTCCTTGGAGATCAACCTCTGCCAAGATAGTATATAATGACATTGAAACTTTTTGATTTACAAAATTTGTTATATAAAAAATACTAAGACGATGACAGATAATACACAGATTTTAATTAAAATTGTACTAAAATTAAAGGTCTAAATAAATTACAAGGGTAAGTGGTATATCTAAACGTATGTTTATATATTTTATTTGTGCATTTTATTCCTAGGGTTGCTTTTGCTTTAGTTTGTAAAACCTTCTCATTTTTATGACAATGTAGTCTATACTAAATAAAGAAAAATCAGGAAATAGAAAATGAAGAAGAAAACATTAGCCATTGTCAACCAAATAAAAATTGTGCAATCTCTAAGTACATGAACGATGTGTTATTTGTACAGCATGTACAATGTTTATGCTTCACAGGGTGAGGTAGAGTCTGCAAAACATTGAACCTGGGACAAATAAGAAAGTAAGGAAATTTTCACAATATATTAATATTACAGAAAATGTTGAACTTAACAGTTAAGATACAAGTAGTGAAAAATGATAGTATTTAAGGAGATTTAGAAAATTTAATCTATATCAGTAATGTGTGAGAAGTATTAGAATAATGCTTGTATTTCTGGATTGATATCGATTTCTATTGAGACTGGAAACATAATAGAAGTGAGCAAAAAAGAAGTTAAATTGTGGATACTTGAGTTTTATACCTAGGAGTTCGAGAAATACATTTTGTTACTATCAAAGCAGTTGGCACAAGAGTGTACAAAATTCCCTAATTGTGTCTATGTGGAGAAGACATAGACAAACAGAGAATAGCAAAACAGAAATAGCAAAAAAGCACAAATAAATTTTACGTAAAAGCCAATTAGAGTAGGAAAACATGAAATTTGTGTTTTATCAAAATTTTTCTCTTTCTTATAGTATAGTTGATTATATTACTGGAAAAAAATTGAAGCATTGGTATGTTCACAAAAAAAAGTAAAATATAAGGTCAAAACCATGGGAATGCAGGGAGCAGACAAAATACACCTAAACACTGAAACTGATTTTGCCCTACGGACATGTATCAAAATGAATGAGTGCAGATTCCTACTGTCATACATCACATAGGACAGTGAAGAAATACATAGTGTTTCCCAAGATAGGGCATCACAAAGGAGCTCTTCCCTAAAGCTAGCACCAAATTTTATATGCTCAGTATAAAGAAGAATCAGAGGTAAATTAGTCCCATTTCACATTCCCTGGAAATGGCAAATAAAAATGACTTGAGATTGCACAGATTTAAAGAAAATCAATCATTAATGATTTACAGCAATTAATTTAAAAATTGTTTAAATGTGCTGTCCAAATATAAGTCCAAACACCTTTAGGCCAAGAATTAATATAATGTGATCCCAGAACGGTGGTGCCTTTAGTAGACTCACAAAAACTTCAAATTCTCTTTGGCAAATTTTCTTCTTACTAACATGCAAAAGTGCACAATAAAAATTTTCAGAGAAAAATAAATCTTTGTCATTCAAAGGCATCTAAGTACGCAAGGAAATGATATTCCACCATTTGAAAGGAAAGCAGAAAAAGAGTACAAACAGATCCACAAAGGTTCATTAGTAGAAATATCACTGTTAGATTATAAAGCACATTTGCTTTCAAAAAATTTAAAAAAAAAAAGAATATATTGTTAAGAGACTAAAAAATTGATGTAGCAAATTTGAAAAGTAGTTTGTATATAGTATTTTAAATTAAAAACTCAAAAATGAACTCATCAGATTAGACATGGCCATGGTGAGAGTTCATAAATATTTCAGAATGCATTACAGAAAATTTAAAAAAAGGCATAATGTGGAGAGAATCATGAAGAGACATGGAAGATACAGTGAGAAAGTGTAGCATGTGTTTAGTGAGTGTTCTCATAGAAGAAGGGAACTGGGAAGGGACAATATGTGATGGTATTTTGGCTGAAAGTTCTCTAGACTTTTGTAAGACATTAATCCGCATATTCAAAACTTCTATGCATGCTAAGCAAGCTACAATGGAGATAAACCTACATCTACATATCTCCTAGAGAAATAGTAAAGAATTAGGAAGGGAAAAATATTTCAATTAGCACTAGAAAAATCAAATTACCTATAATCATACAGAAATCTGAAAGCATGAAAGGTAAAATAAACAATATTATTTGTTAAGAATAATAATGCCATTCTGAAATTCTCAACCAAGAAAAATATTCATCAACCTATGGCTAAATAACATATTTAGAGACAAAAAACAAAACGCCACCAGCAGAATTCCACTAAAGAAACTAAAAAGAAACTCTGAAAACATGCTTCAGAAAGATTGAAGTTCTGAAGTCAAAGAATGAACACAGAGCAAAATACATTGTAAACATACAGATAGATCTAAATAAAAAATTAGGTGTTGAAACAAAAGGATATTTAAAATTGGATAAGCACTGAAATATGTATGTTAGGAAGCAAACTATTAGGACTGAAGTATTCAAAGACCCCTTAATTGTCTGACAAGAGCAGAAAGGTATGACTTTGCATCTCGTTTTTTTTTTTTTTTTTTTTTTTTTTTTTTGAGAAGGAGTCTCACTCACTCTTTCTCCCAGACTGGAGTGCGGTGGCGTCATCTCCGCTCACTGCAACCTCTGCCTCCCAGGTTCAAGCAATTCTCCTGCCTCAGCCTACTGAGTAGCGGGGATTACAGCTGCTTACCACCATGCCTTGCTAATTTTTGTATTTTTAGTAGAGACGGGGTTTCACCAGGTTGGTCAGGCTATTCTCCAACTCCTGACCTCCTGATCCACACGCCTCGGCCTCCCGAAGTGTTGATATTACAGGCGTGAGCCACTGCGCGCGACCGACTTTCGAACTTTAATAAATTGACTGGACATTATGCATTTCTCTGTTGTATCTATGAAAACAATAAAAATAAAAGTCATAATTTTTAAACAAGAAGACAGAAAGTGATAGGAGAAGATGAGACATTATATATATACACACAACAAATTAATAATACAAAATTAAGTATAAATGATCAAAGATTAACTTAAACCTAAGTAGACAATGTTTTTGTTAAAATACAAAGATTGGCAAAATTTAAAACATCCGTCTCTATCATAGTTACAAGAGAGGCAACTAATATATAAATTTACAGGAACTTTGAAGTTCAAACAATACAGATACTGTGTATATATGATATACATACAAACATACTACATGAATATAATTTTTTAAAAAGTTGCTATGTAGACAAAATAGAATGTAAGTTAGAAACATTTGTTAAAATATGTTAGTCTAACCAGGGTGATAAAAGTTTTAAGTTATTAAGAATATGTGATGACTTAAATGTGCATTAGCCTGATACATACGTATGTATATACACACAAACAACACACCCTCTCTCACACACACAGACACACACCTATTTAGAGAGAGAGTCAAATTATATAAAGCAAAAATATCAGAAAGTAATTAGAAATGGATCAGCCCCCAAATATTATAGACATTTCAAACACACGTCTTTCAGTAATAGATAAAAGAAAAAAATAAAAGAGTAAGTTTTAAAAGAAGCTAGTGGATTTTAAAAAGGGCAAATATTATATAAGGAACATGAATATTATAATTCATGTTATTTTCATGTTCATACAGAATACTTACAAAAATTAACATTTTCTAGGCCATACTACAAATTCAAACAATTTTCACGGAAATAACGTGACACACAATATATTTCCTAAACAAACAGCAATGAAGACAGATATCAATACAAAAACGAAAGCTAGACACATAAGTGTAATAATATTGGTTGGAAGCTATTTTAATGAATATTGAAATATTTTAAAGGTGAATACTCAATACAAATAAACCCAACACTTTTGTAAGGCCACTAAGATGCATGTGTAATGTGTAATGCCTCCTTTTATAAGGAGTAAATCTGTAACATCACCTGGGCTATTTGGCAACTGCAAAGTGAATGTGAGAAGGAGAGAAACAGTGAGAGAGAGAGAGAGATAAAACCAGTAAAATAAACATAAAGAATGAAGGAGATAGCCAGGCGCCATTGTTCACGCCTGTAATCCCAGCACTTTGGGAGGCCGAGGCAGGTGGATCACCTGAGGTCAGGAGTTCGAGACCAGCCTGGTCTAACATGGTGAAACCCACTCTTTACTAAATATACAAAAATTAGCCTGGCATGGTGGCATGCATCTGTAATCCCAGCCACTCGGGAGGCTGAGATGGGAGAATTGCTTGAACGTTGGGGGTGGAAGTTGCACTGAGTAGAGATCACGCGACTGCACTCCAGCTTGGGCGACAGAGCAAGACTCGGTGTCAAAAAAAAAATAAAAAAAAAAACGAGGAAATAACAGACGAAAAAGCAGAATTAAAGCAACTGGGTACATATTTAAAAATGCAAAAGCTCACTTTTTCAGAAAAATATTAAAATATTAAATCTAACAAATATCTAGGTAGACTGATGGAGAAAAATACGGAAAATGCACAAAAAAACAGTTACCTGGAATGCGAACGTTACAAAACGTCAGCAGTTGTAGATTTTAAATAAGCAATGATTTTTGAGTTCAACCATGATGGGGTATATTGAAAAGAATCTCTCAGAAAAAAAGAAAAAGAAAACTGTTATAAGGCTAAGTACAAAATGTTAAGCACTATTAAAGTCTTCCAAATCTACCAGTTATGGAGTTATTGGTCTTGGACTAACTCTCCTGAAAAGAAAAAACAAAACAAAACCTAAAAACCTGGATAAAATGGCCTACCTTGGGCACTGGCAATGCATCCAAGCAGGTAGGACCTGGGTGCTACATTCTCTTTGTCAGAACACAAAGCATTCATACACTCTTCTCACCCTCACTTTCACCTTTTAATCTTAGATCTACTATTAAATGTATTCAACATTACTATCAATCCTTTGGTCAAAATTTCTTTACTCACATTTTGCTTGATGCACTTGGATAGACTGTTCAAGAAAGTGTGAGTAGTGAATTCCTCAAACTCTTGCATATTCAAAATCACATTTTTGAACCTTGATGTTTGAAGTGTAGCTTGGGTAACAGATGGGCTTTAAGACAATTTTGGCATGCAAGGGGTTGAGTTTATTAGGCATCAGCACCGCTGAAAATCGTGGGGATGCAGGCTTAATTTCAACACTATTCTAAATACTTGAAAGATATTATATAATTCTTTAATAAACTCCTGTGTCTACAAATGGTTCACATTAACTCGATATCCATGATTAAACATCTATAAAATCAAGGCACTGTTATTTAGTGGAGACTTGCTGGCTATTCTATGAGAGGAGGTATTGTTATTGTAATCTCATCCTCTCATAAAAGTGTATCATATTACTCATAACCAGCCCTTCATATTCTATTCCTATTTTGGTATTTTAAAATAAGATATCTTTGAAACACTTGAATTCAAAGAGGGAATCTGAATAATTTTTAAAATGTCAATGAAATGCCATTTCCTCATGCTTCAACAACTAAAAATTGACTAAAGTGCTTCTCTTCAAACTTTCTGGAACATTTTTTATCTAAATTCTAAGAACAATCACAATAGGTTTTAACCACAAATGTGAGAATATTCTAAATGTTAGGGTGGAAAAATTTTTAAAATAATTTTATAGTAATTTTTTTCATCATAGTGACAGTTTGCTAAATTTTTTTAAGCCAACTATTACTGTAGACATTTAAGTCAGGATTCTAAGAAGCTGTTGTAAAGTCCAAAATTTAGTTTCGTATACACTGATAGTATATATATATATTTGCATAGAAAATTAATACATGTGAGCCATGTTTCAAATAGTAGAGATTATTATATCAAAGATACTTGATTATATAAAATGCCAATTACTTATAGGCAGACATGCTTTAAATAATTACATAGGCAGTTGTGGTTGATTCTACTCTTGCTACTGGCATTTATATGGACATACTATTATGGTCTGAAGAATATTTAGGCAAATTTATCCCTCATATGATCAGAAGAACAATGCAAGATAGTTTATATCTGAAAGGAAAAAATCTTTATATGGTTCTGAAAGCGTAAATCATTAACAACTTGGATAATAATTAGCATAAAAATACACAAACATGCCCTCTTCCTAGCAGTAAGTATACAGTGACAACAGAATCAAAGCATGTGGCTATGTGCATGTTTATATTTCAAGATGCAGAGCACTCTATTCCTCCTCTCCGCCCCTTCTAGATGGCACAATTCCTCATGAATCTAAGTGCAGTCATAGGGTGGATTAGGGTGACCTGCCATTTGTATGCAACTGATCTCTATTTTGGAAGTAATTAATGTCAAAATATATTTTTAAAAGATAATTTCAAATTTCAGGGCAAACTAGCATGGTTTCACCCCTTTTCTTTGGAACATTTTTTCTAAGGTTGGAAAAGTAAGGTAGGCTTTAGTACGATTTTAAATAATAAGTTTTCAAAGTGAGACGCAAAATGGTGGCGCCAACACATTTCACATCTGCTACATTTTGAAGACACTTATTGGAGAAAAGACCTTCTCATCATTTTTCTCTTACAGGAAAGGAAATAACATGTACAGTTGACCCTTAAGCAACACGGAGGTTGGGGTGCTGGCCCCCCTGCACAGTAGAAAATCCACTATAACTTTGACTCCCCCAAAACTTAACTACTAATAGCCTACTGTAAGCCTTACAAATAACACAGTCAACTAACACATATTTAATGTTATATGTCTTATATACTGTATTCTTAACAAACAAGCCAGAGAAAAGAAAAAAGAAAATCATAAGGAAAATATATTTACTAGTTATTAAATGGAAGTAGATGATCAAACAGGTCTTCATCCTCATCCTTTTCATGGGCAGGGTGTGGATAAGGATGTAGAATTCTTGGTTTTGCTAAGTGGACGTGCACAGTTCAAACCCCTGTGGTGCAAAGGTCAACTGTATAACCATTGAATCGCAGTTTATTTTTAGAAATTAACCTCACTAAAATACTCTTAGAAGGATGCCAAAAAAAAAAAATGAATAAGTATTTTTGGTTCATCTATTTCATCATTTCATTTCATCCTTTCATTTCATCATTTCATCATTTCATCAAATTTCCTCATTTCATCATTTCATCTCATCATTTTATCATTTCATTTCATTCTTTCATTTCATTTCATCATTTCATCTCAACATTTCATTTCATCATTTCACTTCATCTCATCATTTCATCATTTCATCTCATCATTTCATTTCATCTCGTCATTTCATTTCATCTCATCATTTCATGTTTTCATCTCATCATTTCATCATTTCATTTCATGTTTTCATCTCATTTCATTTCATCAATTCATCATTTCGTCTCATCATTTCATCTCATTTCATTTCACTTCATTTCATTGTTTCATTTCATTTCATCATTTCATTTCATCACTTCATCTCAACATTTCATCATTTCACTTCATCTCATTTCATCATTTCATCTCATGATTTCATTTCATCTCATTTCATTTCATCTTTTCATCTCATCATTTCATCATTTCATCTCATTTCATTTCATCATTTCATTTCATTTATTTCATCATTTCATCATTTGACTTCATGTCATCATTTCATTATTTCATATCATTTCATCATTTCTTCTTTTCATTCCATCATCATTTCACTTCATCATTTCATTTCCTCATTTCATCTCATTTCATCCTTTCATGTCATTATTTCATTTCATAATTTCTTCTCATTGTTGCATTTCGTCATTTCATCATTTCATCATTTCACTTCATCTCATCATTTCTTCATCTCATGATTTCATTTCATCTCATCATTTCATCTCATTTCATTTCATCCGTCATTTAATTTCATCATTTCATTTCATCTTTTCATCTCGTCATTTCATTTGATCATTTCATTTCATCAATTCATCATTTCATCTCATTTCATTATTTCATCATTTAATCATTTCACTTCATTTCATCATTTCATTTCATCATTTCATATCATTTCTTCATTTCACCATTTGATCTTTTCATTTCATGTCATCTTTTCATCATTTCATTTCATCATTTCACTTATCATTTCATTTCATTTCATTTCCTCATTTCATTTCACCATTTCATCATTTCATTTCATCATTCCATTTCATCATTTCATTACATTTCATCATTTCATCATTTCACTTCATCTCTTCATTTCATCTTTCATTGCATTATTTCATCTCATCATTTCATCTCATTTCATTTCATCTCATCATTTCATTTCATCTTTTCATCTCTTCATTTCATTTAATCATTTCGTTTCTTTTCAACTTTTCATCTCATCATTTCATCAATTCATCATTTAATTTCATTTTTTCATCATTTCATCATTCACTTCATTTCATCATTTCATTTCATCATTTCATATCATTTCCTCAATTCATCATTTCATCATTTCATTTCATTTCATCATTTCATCATTTCATTTCATCATTTCACTTATTTCATTTCATTATTTCATATCATTCCATTTCATCATTTCATTTCATTTCATCCTTTCATCATTTCATCTCATTATTTCATTTCTTCATTTCATCATTTCGTTTCATTTCATCATTTCATCATTTCATTTCATTTCAGTGTTACATGTTTTTAAGTTCTAATGCGATGCCCAGGAGACACCCTATTTCCCTTTGTAAAACACCTCCTTCAACAAAAGGCAACTTCTCATGGCTGGCTAAGTCTACAGGGATACCAGCCTCTCTTCAACCACCCAATTTCATTTAGAACCTCAAACAGCACCTCAGTTTCATAAAAACCTAAAACATAAACACAACACTTGGTTGTAAGTGAGCCAACAGTTTCTTGTCTCTTTCTCTGCTCAAGGCTTAAGGCCGTGTCTCCCCAACTACATTCAGTGGAAGAAAAGATCCCATGGACAAATAAGTTTGAGAATTGTTGTTGCAGGAATTCTCAGAACTTTCAAAACACAAATCCTTATCCGCAGGGATCTTCAGGAGGTAGATGGCTGATGCAGCACAACTTTCTTTCACAGGAGTATCTTGCAGAATACAGTATGAGATACAGAAAGCCTGCATTGAGTCTTTTTAATGGCCTGGGCCTTGGTGGGGGTGGGGTAGGAGCTTTCCAGATAGCATCTAATGAGTAGGAACATTCAGGTGGCTTTTTTTTTTCCTTATTGGCAAAACAGTGTGTACACCATGAATGAAGCTGGTCTCCCTTATCCATGTCAAAACTAAACCCAAATTAATTGGCTAAATTGAGACCCAACACCTCCAGGAGCCACGCGGCAGAAAGCCCCAACAAACTTTAAATTAGCTTACCTCATCATATTTGAGGAAAGCAAAACGCTTATGACGAGTACGCTGCTAATACAAGTCTACAGATAATGCTGCATGAAAAACCGGTTTTTCCAATCATAGCTGGCATAGTCCACATTTTGCATTACACTTTCTCCCCCCTTTTTAAAATTTTAAACACAGGTCTTTTTCTCTTCTTTTTTTAAATTTTAATTAAATTATACAAGACGGAGTCTCAGTATGTTGCCCAGGCTGGTCTTCAACTCCTGAGCTCAAGCGATACATCCGTCTCCGCCTCCCAAATTGCTGAGATTACAGGCCTGAGACACCGTGCCTGGCCTTAAACACAAATCTTAATTCATTCTTACAATTATTCTGAGGTTACAAAAATGGAAGGGGAAGAAAAATGGCAAGCAGGTAGGCTGACTTCGGCTTCATTATTCGGAAGGACAGTTTGCTCGGTTAAAACACACTACTGCCTACAAAGGCCAAGACAACAGAAAAATACACACTTACATAAATAGATTTCATACGTGACAGGAGTTTGAATGGAGACTTTTTCAATGCAATGAGAAACAGCTGTGCTTGGGAATAAATGACAACGAATTTTTTATCTCAACAGCTGTCCTGAGAGCCTGTCTCTACATCTCTACCTGCATTCTGGAATCAGGGAGAAAGCCAAAACAGACGACAAGACACTAGATCAGCTGTGTCCAACCCTTTGACTACAAGGACTTTTCCGCCTATCTGTGGTGGTGGGTATCATGAAAATTATGCACAAACTTTTTTTTTTTAAGCTCATCAGCAGTTTTTAGCATTAGTGTATTTTATGTGCGGCCCAGGAGCATTCTTCTTCTAATGTGGCCCTGAGAAGCCAAAAGACTGGACACCTGTGCAGTACATCAAAAGGCTACTCCTTCTGGAAGCAATTGTAAAGAATTTCTGACATTATCTTGACATGAAAACCAATGGATAGTGGGACAGAATGCAAAATCTTCAAGAATTTTTTCTGTCTTTTTTTTTTTTTTTTTGAGTCACGGTCTTGCTCTGTGGCCCAGGCTGGAGTACACTGGTGAGATCACAGCTCAGTGGAGGATCAAGTGCTCCTCCCGCCTCAGCCACAGTAGTAGCTGGGACTACAGATGCGCACAACCACCCCTGGCTAACATTTTATTTTTTGTAGAGATGGGGGTCTCACTATATTGTCCAGGTTGGTCTCAAACTCCTTGACTCAAGGGATCCAGGACAGGATAACAGGTGGGAGCCACCACACCTGGCCATGTGCATGAACTTTTAAGACAAACACAAGGCCCCACAAAAGTTAAGGTTTTCCCACCTAATTTCCATGGGGGATCTTTTGGTGCAAGCCTGAGAAGCCCTTAAAAGTACACAGACAACTCCAAAGATTCAAGACAGTTCATTTCGGCTGAGCCAGCCCACTGGTCAGACTGACCTTCAAAAAAGGCCCACCCATGACATACACCAGATGGCTGTCCAAGAATCTCTTCAGTCCTCAGGGTCCCTAAGGTACTGGACAGAGCTAGGAAAGCAAACCCATTTGCTTCTTCCTGCAGGAAACCCCTTGAGGTCAAGACCCCACAATCAGACGAGGATGGAGTGGCTCACCCTCAGTCAACAGGCCAGACTCAAGGTGGTGTAATGTCTTAACCAAGGGTGCGGGCCTCCAGGTCTGACTCCCAACTCAGTTCTTCTTTAATAACCACACTTTGTTAATTCTCCTTAACAGGGGTTCCTGGCAAGTCAGTTCTCCTTCAGGCCTTCGGTTTCCTCACCTACAAGATGAGAGGGCTGGACCAGATGGAAATTCAGAGGGTAAGGGGATGTCCGCGCGCAGCCCACCCCCACCCCCACGGGACCCTGGAGCCTCCATCTCAGTTCCCACCACGCACCAGCTCCACAAATCCTACCCAAGGTGAGGGCTGTTCCTGGGTCCTCCGGCTGGCACATCAGCGAGCGCAGGAGGGAGGGGAAGCCTCCAAGGGGGTGACATGGGCTCAAGGATGCAACTCGGCCAGGAGTCAACTGCGGCCCCGAAGGAGGTGTCCGGGCCGCTCCTGGATCCCAGCCCGGGTCCCCGAACCCCTTACCTCCAGGGTCTGTATCTCCTGCTGGGTGAGGTCGTTGGACACAGCGCACTTGGTGCACAGCCCGCACAGGCTGCCAATGAAGATGACGATGAGCTTCTGGAGCTGCCCGCACTGTTGCAGCGCCCGGCTGGCCACAGCCCCTGCGCCACCCTCCGCGGCCGCAGCAGCACCGCCGCCACCGCCCTCCTTCTCTCCCATTGCCTCCGCGCGCAGTGCCGCTCTATGCAGGCCACAAGGGCCTAGGCAGGGAGCCTGGGGCGCCGGCGCCTAGGCAAGAAACCCCTGAGCCAGGAGAGCTGGACCAGGAGCGCCCCTCGGCGCTGCCCTTGCCAGGATGCCAGTAGATCTGGCAGCAGAGTCTGCTGCTCCGGCCCTCAGAGCCTCTGCGGCGGGGACAAAAATCCTCGGCGGCGGGGGCAAAAAGCCCCGGTGGCAAAAAGCGGCGGCGGCGGGGGCATAAAGTCGCGGCGGCAAAAAGCCCCGGCGGCGGGGACAAAAAGCCACTGCGGCGGGGGCAAAAAGCGGCGACGACAGAGACAAAAATTCGCAGCGGCAAAAAGCCGCAGCGGGGGCAAAAAGGCATGGCGGCGGGGGCACAAAGACGCAAAAAACCGCGGCAGCGGAGGGCAAAAAGCCGCAGCGGCGGACGGCAAAAAGCAGCGACCTCGGGGGGCAAAAAGCCGAGGCGGCGGGGGTGCAAAAAGCCGCGGCCGGCAAAAAGCCGCAGCGGCGGGGGGACAAAAAGACGCGGCGGCGGGGGGCAAAAAGCCGCGGCGGCGGCGGTGCAAAAAGCTGCAGCGGCGGGGGAGCAAAAAGCCGGGTCAGGCAAAAAGCCGCCACGGCGGGGGGCAAAAAGCCTTGGCGGGCAAAAATCCGCAGCGGCGGGGGGCAAAAAGCCGCTGCAGGCATAAACCCGATGCGGCGGGGGGGCAAAAAACCGCGGTGGGGAAAAAGCCGCGGCGGCGGGGGGCAAAAAGCCAGGGCGGGGAAAAAGCCGCGGCCGGCAAATAACCGCGGCACAGGCGGGGGCAAAAAGCCGCGTCGGCGGGGGGGCAAAAAGCTGCGGCGGGCAAATAACCGCGGCACGGGTGTGGGGGGGCAAAAACCGCGGTGATGGGGGCCAAAACGCCGCGGCGGCGGAGGGCAAAATAGTGGAGATGGGGTAGAAGGCAGGCACAGCTTGGCATTTCTGGAGTGTGATGTGATAGGAATTGTGCAGTCAAAGACAAAAAAAGTTGTAAGTAGGCTTGACTCATTGCAGCTAAGAACCCAGATGTTATCTTGAGGGTATTAACTAATAAGCAGTTTAAATCAGAATGGCACATTCTGATTTGTTTTTTGTATGTTCACATTTGGCAGGCATAGATACTGTTTGAAGAGAGAAAAGTCAGTAGAGAGAGGTAACAAACTTAAATATGTGCCAAGTCTAGAAACAAGAGACCAGGGGGATAAAGACCTTTCGAAATAAAATGCAAGATTTGAAAACTGATTGGCTGGGGGATGAGGAAAAGGCAGGTCTTTAAGGTCAATCGCTGTTTTGCTTTAAGTTGTTAGGGGGTGGTTTTTATCACATGTTGTAGAATATGTCATTTCAGTTTTAAACATCTTGAGTTAAATTGTCCTTACATATCTTATGAATTTGATTTTCTTCCCTGGGAAGCTAATATTTCAAACACTTAAAGAGTATATAGATCTCCAAATTGTATCCAATTTATAAAATTATCTCTAGGCTGCTGATTTCAGGAGGAGGCTCATGAATATTCTCTTTGCAGAGAATATATCAGGAGTTAACAACAGCTTCAATATTTTTGGACGACCAGTTAACTAAGCCACCTCTTAGTGTCTTTAGTTGGGAAATCTTAGCTGAAGATATTCAATAATGAACCAAGAGTGACTAAAAAATTCAATATTTAAGTATATTTCATTGTAATTAATTTGAATTGAAGTAGCCATATACAGCTAATATTTACTACATTGAACAATGCAAATAAGAGGAAAAAATTAATAACCATCTCTAATACCACATGCCAAAATCCTCATAAATTTATTCTAGCTAAAGGAGTTGATCAGAAGCAGCAGTTGAAAGCACCAACTAAACCAGCTGGGGTTAGTTCACTATCATTCTCTCAGAACCATCTCTTCTCTCAACAAAACAAGTACAAGAATTCATTGTGAATCTGCATTCTCCTTGCCTATTTTAAGGTATTCATGTTGACACTAGTTTGTGAAATCCCTCCTGTGGTGTGATATTTCGTTTTCCTTGCTTTCTGTTAGGACAAGAATGCTTCAGCTCTTAATTTAAAATTATGTTTCTCCCTCCTAGGTTGAGTGAACTTAGAATGCGTTCTCTGACATATCCAAGATTTTGTTAATATGAATTTCGGGAAAAAAGCATACTTAATTAGCTAAGACTTATTATTCTAGGCTTGACCCTATGTTCTACATCTTTTGAATTTCTAGTTGCATGGGCTGCTCTCTGACACTGGTTAGTGACCTGGAAGCTATATTAATGTTAAGGGAGGTGGTGTATGAGCATTACAGGTATCCTTGCAAGGAAAGACTTGTCTTACCTCAATATGTCTTTTTTTTGCACACAAGAAAGTCAATGTCTGAGTCTTCTAAAATCTTCCTATTTCCAAGTTGCAGAGCACCATTGATTCCTAAACAAAGACCTAATTTTTGACTCAGAGATGTGGCAAGGTAGTGAATCACCATTATAATTCAGCAATCTTCAAGATAAAATTATCTCTGATATTTAGATTTTGCCCAATTATTAAGATATTTGGGTGTTTCGTTAAGAATGGAAGACTCTAGTCTCTTGAGCAGAGACTATAAAGGCCTCAGATGATCATTTTTAATTTTATGCTCTTTTCTTTAACACCTTCAACACAGTTGGAAGCAGCCGATATTTCCCAGAGTTGTTGTGTTTTTTAAACCAAATGAATGGTTCAGTGGTAGAAAAGTGGGCTGACCCAAGCTGTTTTCAGTAAACACTTCATTTCAGGTGACCTATTTCATATTAAATAATCTCTAGATCCTGTCTTTGAAACTAACTAGATCAGATAACCTACCCTGGATTTTCTCCTTTTAGGGTCAGTGAGCTGCAGTCACTTTTGTGAAAATGACTGCAATGACAAGATAGAGTTGTAGATGGGGAAAGTATTTTGACTAATTTAAGCATAGTGGTATTTCATATGAGAATTTAAGTTACACACATTTGAAAATTATAATGGAGTCTCTTGGCTGAGCTTTAAAAAAAAGTGTTTAGACTAAAAAGGGAACTGCTACCTCTCCTAAAATCAGAAAGATGTTACAGTAATTCTCCATTCTCTAGAAGTATCAAGAAGCACCTTTGTGATGATTTACTTTTGCTCTTGGGAGTGTGAGTCCGTGTAGTCGTGGAACCATCAATTAGAATGGTGGCTTTCTGATCCCAAAGTCATTCGTTCTGAAAACAATATTTTTCATAAATTTGAAAGTGAGAAGTTTTGATCTTGCCATTCCCAAGTATCTCTCTTAATAAGAGACATCAGCATGCTTCAGTGACAGCTGTCACCTTCCAGTGCTGAGAGTCATCTTTGAGTTCTCCATTTCACTCCCTACACTCCAATTTAGCTGCAGTTCTCTTGGCCATTCCTATGAAATACATCCATGGCCTAACGACTTCTCACCACTACTACCATTCATCCTGACAGCATTCTCACCTAAGTCACTACCTTTTTTCTCTGGATTAGAGTAGCCTCCCAATTTATTTGCTCACATAACCTATTTATTCTACACAGTGAACCAGATACACCCCTTTGAAATGCAAACACAATCATGTTATTCTCTGGTGAAATTATCTCATATATTCCTATCGCATTTAAAATTAATTCAGAATCATCATGATTATCAAAACCCTACATGCTCTTCCACAACATGGTTTACTTCCAAGATATCTCTTCAACTTTTTTTCACTGTACTGAATTGGTGACTAATAGTCATATTTTTGTTTTTGCTCAAAAAGTCTTGACTTGTAAATTTTTCATTTTCTCCTTTATCCACAGGTAACTCTTTCCTCATAAGATGAATTGCTTGCTTCCTTGAGTTCTGCTCTCAAAGATACCCTTCATTTTCTACCTAATATTAATAACTTTAATCATTCATTATTCCATTACTATGCTCTATAGTGTATACAATTTCTGTTCTTTGTCATGTTATTAACTAAATTATTTATTTGGTCCAGTAACGTATTCCATAAATATTGTACACATAAAAATTGTGTTATTTTTATTCCTGTATGGTCAGCTGCCCAATAACATTCTGAGGATTAACATATTTGTTAAATACACAAATACATTCTTTCACAAATATTAGTTTAATAATTTTATATTAAACTCCCTCTATACTTACAATATGAATCAGATAATTCAGAATAAACATTCCATGGGAAAAAACTACACAATTTGTTATAAAACATCCTTAAAAGCATCAGAAAGTTAATACAGCAATGAAGAATTACAGGACCAAATTAAGAATGGTATGAAAGCCTGTTTGTGACGCTTATGTTTGGGTTATCTCTTTACTTAGAGTGACTATAAATCTCAAAAGAGAACTAAAGGGAGAAATAACCGTATCTACTAACATGGTAAGAGTACTTAAACACCTCTTAGTAATTGAGAAAATTGAAAGAAAAAAAGAGAAAGGGAGAAAGAGAAACAGCGGAAGGGATAATGAAGGAGAGAAAGAAGAAGAGAAAGGAAGAGGAAGAAAAGAAAAAAGGAGGAGGGGGGAGGGAGGAAGAAAGAAAGGTGAAAAGAAAGAATGGTAAAGTTTTTAACAACATAATTTATCCTTCTAGAATATGAATGTTGGTCTATTTGATGATGTCCCACAGATTCATTAGTCTCTGCTCATTGTTTATTTTTTATTCTTTCTGTTTCTCAGAGTCAGTATTTTCCATTTTCTTCTCTTCAAGTTCATGGTTTCTTCTGTGTGTGCAAATATACTCTTAAATCCCTCTGGTGATTTTTAAATTTTTATCATTGTAGTTTTCCACTCCAGAATTTCTGTTATCTCTTTGCTGATATTCCTACTTTTTAACATTTTTTCTGATTCCTTTATTTCTTTGTTTATGTTTTCCTTTTGACATTTGAGTATAATGAAGAGAGTTGTTTTAAAGTCTTTGTCTGGTAAGTTTGATGTCTGGGTTTCCTTAGGGATATTTTCTGTCAATTTATTTTGTTCCTTTGAATGAGCCACACTTTCCCATTCTTTGTATGCCTTGTAACGTTTTTTGAAAACTGGACATTCTAATAATTATAATTACTATGTGGTTACTCTGTAAATCAGACCACCCCCTACAAACAAAGTAATGTTTTGTGGTTTTAAATTTTCTTTACTTATTATATTGTAAAGGATTTTTTTTTAGTGAAATTTTCCAAAGTGATTTACAAAACTGTTTGCTTTATAAGGTGTGGTCACCGAAGTCTTTTTGTTTCTTTAACAAATGTTAAGCTAATGTTTTGACAGTGATTTTCTTGTATGTCAGGAACCAATCAAACAGGCAAATACAAGAAAAACAAAAAGAAAAACAAGTAATAATTGTTCAGCAAAATATGTCTCTAGGCCATGGAGACTGGCTTTGTGCTGGGTTCTTTAATGCCGGCACAAAGTGTGTGTTCACTCTTGCACTGAGTGAAGTTCAAGTTCACTCTTGCACAGAGCTTGCACTGAGGGGAGGGATCGGCCAAGGTAAAAGTGTAGGGTCTTCTTATGACATTTGTCAGCATGTGGCTTAACCTATGAATGCATGTAACTTTCTAGACTCTCCCATGTACGTGAATGATTTTGTATGTCTTAGTTTTTGAAATACTCTTCTCCAACTTTGCTTGCTGTGCTGAAGGTGATCTACTATATGTGTAAATTTTAATTTTTGCCCTAAGCATCTGTGGTTTGTTAGGTCTCCTTGCAGAGTTCCTTAATAATGTCCATTCCTTATCTGTTCTGTATTCTAGCAACACAGAAAAAAAAAGCCTTTCATGAGTCCTTTAGGTATCCCCCAGACCAGTCAGAACAGACACATAATAATGTGCGGGTAAGATCTTCTCTTGTTCCTTTGGACCATAGACCAGGCTTCCTCACTGGGAACGTGGGCTTCTGACACTTCAAAACTGCCAATTTGCTGGGGCAAAGGCAAGTTAAAAATGTCGTAAAGTTTTCCAGTTGTCTTTTTCTTGGGTCTTCTTTCACTTGGTTGTTGTAATCTTTTGACCATTTTCCAGAGTTTTGGCAAAGTTTATTCGGACAGTTTCTCTTAGTTGTGTGATGTTTCTGTGGGGAAATGAAAGATTGCAGCTGTCTCCACTGCCATTTTGCTGATGCTCCTCTTTTGTCAATTTTTGCTTCATGTTATTATGCTTTGTTATTAGTTCATGTATTAGTTTTCTAGGGCTGCCATAACCAAGTAACACAAACTGGGTGCCTTGAACAACATACATTTATAGTCTTATAGTCTTATAGTCCTGGAAGCTTAAAGTCTGAGATTGAGGTGTCAGCAGGGATGGTCCCTTCAAGGGCTATGAGAGAAAGCCTGCTCTGTGCCTTGTTTCTTGTTTCTGGTGGTTTAGTGGCAGTCTTTGGCATTCCTTGGCTAATCTCTGCCCTCATAATCACATGGTACTCTCCCTGTGTGTATGTCTCCCTCTACTCAAATTTCTTCTTTTAACAAGGACATCAGTCATATTGAATTCAGGCTCATCTGATTATATCTTAACTTGATCAGCTGCAAAGAACCTATTTCCTAATGAGGTCATATTCAGTGGTTAGAATTTCAGCATCTATATAGAGGAAACAATTTAGCTCCTATCTGTGCATACATGATTGTAATAGCTATGTCTTCCTAAAGCGTTGACCCCCTTTTTACTACAATATAAATTTTTAAAATCCTATTCACATTTTTAATAGTATATATTGTGTGTTATGAGTATAATGAGTTCAGTGTTCTTATGATTGCTCTTTGCATGATATTTTTTTGTCATCTTTTTACTTTCAATCAATTAGTATCCTTTCATCTCAGCGTATATTGGGATCACTTGTTTTAATCCAGTCTGACAATCTCTGCCTCAAGAATGGATTTTAATCTGCTCACATTTAAGATTATAATTGGTATAATTCTATTTATGTCTGCCATTTTACCATTTGTTGTATATACTTCTCAAATATTTTTCTTTATTGCTTTATTTTGCAATGAAAGAATATTTTCTATAACAGGGAACTTTAGATTACTAATGAATTATTTTATTATATATTTTTGAGAATTTTTGTTGTTGTAAGTTTACCATATAGGTATATGGAAAATTAATTATTCAAATCATCTTCCAATTTATACTAGCAAACTTTTAGTAATACATAGAAACATCATTCTTATATAAATCTCTTTTGTTTCCTCCATTTCAAGGTATTATCACTTTACACATTACATCTATTAAAGTTACAAAGCCAACAATACATTTAAGTAATTATTACTTTACCATCTAGAGTTATTATCTTATCACAATACATTTTTCTTCCAACTACCTCCTTTTTGATGTTACTGGAGAATATGTTATAGACGTATTCCATTTCTACATGTCAAATACTCAGCAATACATTATGCACATGTTATTATTATCATTGAGATGGAGTCTCCCTCTGTCACCCAGGCTGGAGTGCAGTGGCACAATCTCCGCTCATTGCAAGCTCTATCTCCCGGCTTCATGCCAGTTTTCTGCTTCAGCCTCCCGAGTAGCTGGGACTACAGGCGCCCGCCATCACGCCCGGCTCATTTTTTGTATTTTTAGTACAAACGGGGTTTCACTGTGTTAGCCAGGATGGTCTCGATCTCCTGGCCTCGTAATACGCCCACCTTGGCCTCCCAAAGTGCTGAGATTACAGGTGTGAGCCATCGTGCCCGGCCATTATACACATGTTATTTAATAAACAATTTATGATAAAGAGAAAAAATGCATTTTTACTGTCCTTTATAATGTCAATATTACCTATACCAGTGCTTTTTTAAAAGTGTGGATTCAAGTGACTGTCTTCTGTAACTTGCTTTTAGCCTTAGGAATTTATTTTAGAGTTTTTCTTTATATGGTAGGTCTGCCAGCAATGACTTCAGTTAATATTTCTGTTTATCTGGGTAAGTCTTTGTGTTATCTTCATTTTTGAAAAATAATTGCTGGATAAGGAATTCGTGGCTGAGAGTTTTTTTTCCTTTGCATCTTTTGAATATATTATTCTACTGCCTCTTGCCTTCCATTGTTTTTCTTAAGTCAGCTCTTAATCTTACAAAACATAGGTGCTCAAAAAATAAACATGTGCATGAATATTGACAGCAGTAATATTCATTCAGTCAAAAAGTGGAAACAATACATAAGCTTGTTGACTCATAAATGGACACTGAATTTTCAGCTATGACAAAGAATGAAGTACTTATATATGGTATAATATTGGTGAAATTTGAAAGCATTATGTTAAGTGCACAAAAGGGCAAGTATTACTTGATTTTATTCACATGAAACATCAGGAATTTGCAAATCAATTGGGATATAAATCAGATTAGTGGTCATTAGGGCTCAGGGAAGCAGAATAGGGTGTAACAACTTTATGCATAATGGGTTTTTGGAAGGGACATGATGAAATTGCCCTGGAACATTGTGAATATACTAAAAGCAAGTGCATTGTATGCTTTAAAATGGTTGTTATTAATTTTATATTATGTGATTTTTACCTTAAAAAACAAAAAAGGGAAAATAGCCTTACTCTATACATAATAAACTCAAGATATGTTACAAATTTACATGTGAAATCCAAAATACTATAATATTTGAGGAATAGCTAAGTAGAATAACACTGAAATTTAACATAATGAAACATTTCCTTAGAAAAGAAAAAAGCACAGTAATTTAAAAGGGAAATATATTTAATATTTTTCTCTCCATTAAGCATGCCATTAACTGATTAAAAATTCAAGCTGCAATTATGTAAACTACATATTCTAAAACCATAAAGAAAAGAAGAAATAAAAAGGTATTTGGGATAAAAATCCAAAGGTACAGTCAACTACACAAACAAAGCTTAGTCTCATTAATCATTATGAAAATGCAAATGGTAACTGAAAGAAGATAAAACTACAATTCAAAGAGAAAGCCTAAAATTTCAACCCCCAAAAGTCTGGGTTTTGGAGATCTGGGATGGAATAGGGTTCCTAACCTGACAACAATGAAAGAACCAAACGAACTTCAAAATCATGACTTTATTTTTATAGCAATGAGGTTGCCAAGAACTGAGTAAAAATGTGAGGGAAAACATGCAACTGCAAGGAGAAAGAGGATGGATGCACTTATATAGGACAGATGCAAATAGACACCACTATGACAAGTAAAGCTGGAATAATCAATAAATTCCTAAAAGCAAAGTGGGGCTGGTGAGATTGGGAGACAGCTGACAGCTGCAGAAGTTGGGAAAGATCCATCATCTTGAAAAGTTTTTCCCACAAACCCACTGCGATCTCTCAAGCAATTGGTAAGGAATTCAAGAGAGTCTGTATATGACACAGATCAGGGAGAGCAGAACACTTGGGAGGTGACCAGGTCTTGGGGGCCGAGCCCTTATGAATGTGATTAGTGCCTTTATAAAAGAAGCTCAATGGGGTTCTTGTGTGCCTTCCACTATGTGAGGACATAGAAAGAAGGCAACATCTATGAACCATGAAATGGGCTCTCATCAACACTGAATTGGTGAGCATCTTGACCTGAGATCTTACAGCCTCAAGAAGTGTGAAAAAAGAAATATCTGTTGTTTTTTAGTCACCCGGTTTATGTTATTTTGTTATAAGAGTCCAAATAGAGCAAGATATTCCACTTAATATGTAGGGGAAGGCAACAAAAACTGCCAAACTTAGGATACTCCTGATGCTGGGATTATGAAAACAGGAAAAACAAAACAAAACTGCTCTTGAAGGTGAAGGAGGAATATCACTGAGCTCACCAACACAGCCAGGAAAAGAACAGAAGTGTGAGAAGGCTGCATTCCTGAGACCCTGAGAAAAAGTACCTGCATAAGACTGAGATGAAATTACCTACTCTAGTTATGATTGAAATCCCAAAAAGAAAAGAGGGAAAAATAATGGAGAAAAAGAAATATTTTTCAAAATAACTGCCAAAAATATTCTAAAAGAAGTGACAGAAAATCAAACTTCAAATATAGGAAACTCAGAGAATGTCAAATAGAACAAAAAGAAATAAGAAGTACATGTTGAAAAATCTTTAAAAAATCAAGTCTAAATTTTATATCTTGCTCCAAATATATAGAGATATAAATAGGTTATCATGAAGATATGGAGAAAGCCATATCATGGAAACACTAAAATAAAGCTGTGGAAGGACTACATTGATATTAGACACAACAGAGTTCGGAACAAGAAATAGTATCAGAGATGAGAGATAATAGATAATAGAATAATCAAATCTCAAGAAGATGTAAACATCCTACTAATTAGGTTATGCAGCTAACAACAGAACCTCCAAATACATGAGGTAAAACAGGAAAGAAATCAAAGGTGAACTAGAAAAATCCAAAATTGTATTTGCTGACATCAACACTTTTGTCTTAGTAATGGAAAGACTAGGCACTAACTCAGTAGTCATGTGGAAGATAAGAACAACAATATCACCAACAAGACATCCAATCTTCAATGGCAGATACTCTTTCCTTTCAAGTGAAAAAAATGAGTATGGCATATTCTCTATCAAACCCAGAATTTCTAATATTTGCGTTCTTCCTTCCTTCTTTCCATCTTCCTTTCTCTTCTCTTCCCTTCCCTTGCTTTCTTCCTTCCTTTCTTCTTTTCATCTTCCTTTTCTTTTCTTTTTTCTTTACCTTTCTTTCTTTTCTTTTTTTTCTCCTTCCTTCCTTCTTTCCTTCTTTTCTTTCCTCTTATTCTTCCTTCCCTCCTCCCTCCCTTCCTTTCTCCCTCAATTTTCTTCCTTCTTTTCTCATATTCTTTCTTTCTCACGTACTTCCTTTCTTTCCTTTTTTCTACCTTCCTCCCGCCCTCTTTTTATTCCTTCCTCCCTCCCTTCCTTTCCTCTTTTTTCTTCCTTCCTTTGTCTCTTTATTTTCTTTCTTTCTATGCCTTCCTCCCTTTTACCATTCTCTTTTCCTCCTTTTCTTCCTCCCTTCCTCCTTTCTTTCTTTCTCTCATTCTTTCCTTCTTTCTTTCTTGTGTTCATGCTTTCTTTTTTCTCCCTTCCTGCCTCCTTTCTCACTTCCTCCCTCCCTCCCTCCCTTCCTTCCCTCATTTCCTCCTTTTTTTCTTTCTTCTTTCTTTCTTTATTTCCTTCCTTCCTTCTTTCCTTCCTTTTTTTCTTTCTTTGTTTTCTTTTCTTTCTTTCTCTTTACTACAACTCATATTATTTTAAAAAAATTAAGAGAGGGAGACAGAAAAATAAAGAACGCTTTAATCTGCAGGTAAATAGATTGTCTGCTGTAGGCCAAAGAATGGCCTCCCAAAAAATTTCATGTCCTAATTCTCAGAGTCTAAGATACAAATATGTTAGGTTGCACGGCAGTGTGAAATTAGATGTCAAGTGAAATTAAGGTTGCAGAAAAATGATAGAGAGATTGTCTTAAATGAGTGGGATCAATGAAATCACAAACTTCCTTATAAGTGAAAGAAGAAGGCAGAAGAAAGGCAACCTTGGAGGTGGTGGCATGAGAAATTACTCAACATCACTGACTTTTAAGATACAAGAATGAGGACCCAGCGCGGTGGCTCACGCCTAATCCCAGCACTTTGGGAGGCAGGAGAGGGTTTATCACGAGGTCAGGAGATCGAGACCATCCTGGCTAATATGGTGAATCCCCATCCCTACTAAAAATACAAAAAATTAACTGGACGTAGTGGCAAGTGCCTGTAGTCCAAGCTACTCAGGAAGCTGAGGCAGAAGAATCACTTGAACCCGGGAGACAGAGGTTGCAGTGAGCTGAGATTGTGCCACTGCACTCCAGCCTGGGTGACAGAAGGAGACTCCATCTCAAAAAAAAAAAAAGAAAAGAAAAATAGGATCTAAGAATGAGGCAATGTTCAAGGAATAAAGGTGGCCTCTGGATGCTGAAAAAAATCAAGTAATAGATTCAGCCACATAGCCATCAGAAAGACTGCAGCCTTGCCCAAAACTTGATGTTACCCCTGTGAGTTTCACTTAAGGCTTCTGAACTACAGAACTGTAGGATTAATGGTCAATTTATTGTAAGATATGAAGTTTGTGGTAATTGGTCACAGCAGCAAGAGGAAGTTTATATTGTAATTGTATCATGAAAATGAGAACCAAAATTTACAACTGCTTTTAATACTGCACTTGGATGTTTGAAATCATGTACATGGAAATGATCTCTATGTGCATGACGGAGGATAGCAAATTGATGCCAAAATAATGCAAATGCAAATCTTACACTCATTTCGATGTAGGTTTCATTTAATCTTTGAAACTAAAATGAAATTAAAAGATTGTGATCTTTTGATGAAATTAGACTAAAATGAACAATAACAAAATAAAAACTTACTTATATTCTTTTTATGGTCAATAAAGAAGTGATAGTGGAAAAAAACAAGATCAAATAAAGGTGATGATTTAGGAAGTTGGAAAGTTAGCTGACACTACAAACTGGTATATAACCAGTGAACACTTAGATACACTGATTGATGAACTTCAGCTTTTGGCTTGGTGAGAGCATAAAATGAGAGCAGCTGAGGTTTGCAAATTTGTAATCTCCTTGAGGAAAAACAGGGGAAAACACATCTCTGCCTAATAAGATTTATCTACTAAAGAGTCTAGACTTGATCCAGTTGTCCTTGTAATTCAAAAGCTAATTCAAATACTGATTTGATGTATTGTGTGAACAACAATTGCTGATTATCATCGCATACCTGGCATTCTCTTGTATCTCATATCTAAAATATTTGGTAATTCCTGGACTTTCTCTTTTCAAACCCAGTACGGTTTAATTTGAGTCTTAGAACAGTTGTGTTTGAGAAATTCTTCCCTCTACTGCATCTGTGAATGGGCATAGCATGGTTACATACATATTGTCACTCCATAGAACATTTGTTAAATTAAAGCCAAAGTTAAATTAAAGCAAGAGCTTTAACTTATTGGTTTTACTAATGTTTTCCTCCCCAATATCCACAACAATATTGATACTCTCACACCTTATAACATAAAGCTTTGTGTTGTCTATTTTTCAGGTGCTGTCATCTATATGATCTCAGTATTGTAAAAATCAGCTTCCAGCCCATATGGTGGTTCATGCTTGTAATACCAGCAGTTGAAGAGGCTGAAATGAAAGGATTCCTTGAGCCCAGGAGTTGCCAAGCAACCTGGGCAACATAGCAAGACACAGTCTCTATCAAAATTTAAAAAAAAAGTGTTCCTATTTCTCCATATCCTCTCCAGCACCTGTTGTTTCCTGACTTTTTAATGATTGCCATTCTAACTGGTGTGTGATGGTATCTCATTGTGGTTTTGATTTGCATTTCTCTGATGGCCAGTGATGATGAGGATTTTTTCATGTGTTTTTGGGCTGCATAAATGTCTTCTTTTGAGAAATGTCTGTTCATGTCCTTCGCCCACTTTTTGATGGGGTTGTTTGTTTATTTCTTGTAAATTTGTTTGAGTTCATTGTAGATTCCGGATATTAGCCCTTTGTCACATGAGTAGGTTGCGAAAATTTTCTCCCATTTTGTAGGATGCCTATTCACTCTGATGGTAGTTTCTTTTGCTGCGCAGAAGCTCTTTAGTTTAATTAGATCCCATTTGTCAATTTTGTCTTTTGTTGCCATTGCTTTTGGTGTTTTAGACATGAAGTCCTTGCCCATGCCTATGTCCTGAATGGTAATGCCAAGGTTTTCTCCTAGGGTTTTTATGGTTTTAGGTCTAATGTTTAAGTCTTTAATCCATCTTGAATTGATTTTTGTATAAGGTGTAAGGAAGGGATCCAATTTCAGCTTTCTACATATGGCTAGCCAGTTTTCCCAGCACCATTTATTAAATAGGGAATCCTTTCCCCATTGCTTGTTTTTTTCACTGTTGGTGGGACTGTAAAATAGTTCCACCATTGTGGAAGACAGTGTGGCGATTCCTCAGGGATCTAGAACTGGAAATACCATTTGACCCAGCCGTTCCATTACTGTGTATATACCCAAAGGACTATAAATCATGCTGCTATAAAGACACATGCACACATATGTTTATTGTGGCATTATTCACAATAGCAAAGACTTGGAACTGACCCAAATGTCCAACAATGATAGACTGGATTAAGAAAATGTGGCACATATACACCATGGAATACTATGCAGCCATAAATAATGATGAGTTCATATCCTTTGTAGGGACATGGATGAAATTGGAAATCATCATTCTCAGTAAACTATCACAAGAACAAAAAACCAAACACCGCATATTCTCACTCATAGGTGGGAATTGAACAATGAGATCACATGGACACAGGAAGGGGAATATCACACTCTGGGGACTGTGGTGGGATTGGGGGTGGGTGGAGGGATAGCATTGGAAGATATACCTAATGCTAGATGACAAGTTAGTGGGTGCAGCGCACCAGCATGGCACATGTATACCTATGTAACTAACCTGCACAATGTGCACATGTACCCTAAAACTTAAAGTATAATAAAAAAAAGTGGGCAAGGTGGTGTGCACTTGTCCTAGCTATTTGGGAGGCCAAGGTGGAAGGATTGCTTGAGCTTGGGAGGTTGAGGCTGCAGTGAGCAGTGATTGCACCACTGCACTCCAGCCTGGGCAACAAAGCAAGACCCTATCTCAAAAAATATATGTAATAAAAATAAAAATCAGCTGTCATTGATTTCTATGTAAATATGCACAGGTGATGTCCATATAGACATAAATAATAATATTTCGGACAATGGGTCCATATGATCTTCAAAATGTAAAATGTCTATCTGTGTAATTGACTGGTTAGTCTCATTAATGAATATAGATTCAATTCTACTTTCTTGTTCTAGATAAATTATATAATCTAGCTTTTCATTTCACTTATTTACTGATAACAACAGGAAGAATGACAAGATTTCTATTTTGGAAAATTACTCTGGTAGGAGTAAAGATGAAATAATGATAGAATTGCATGGACAACTAGAAAAAAGTATGGTCTTCTTATATTCTATCACATCACATACTAAAGGCCTCATAAAACTCAGATATTTTATCTAAAATTGTTATTTTCATCATAGGAATGATCAAAGCATGAGACCACAATTGTATTAAAATGTGCTTGTATCACAAGCACAGGTGCTAAAAAGGAGGAGGAAACATCATCACTGATATTTTCAAAGTATGCTTTATTTTCATCAACATGAACCTCAACTTGATATGATGCAGATTGAAGGAAATCACCCATAATTCCATATGAAGAAGGCCTGTGATATTTTATGGGAAAATAGAGATAATGCTAACAGAAACCCTATTAAGCAAGAAGCTTTATGGAGCAAACACAAATCCAGTGGTGAAAGATACACACTCGAGTTCTTTTCGTTGTCTTGGAACAATACGGTTTAGAGGTGACTGGTGGATGAGGAGAACATATGCGAGTTCACCAAAGAGAAAAGCTGAATGAGGCAATGCCTCTTCCTGACCATATCTCTTACTCAGATAATGATATAATTTATTGTCCAGTAAAGGGTATATTAAAAAATCATATTAAAAGTCATGCAGTGAAGTTGTCCAGGGAAATCAAGACTTAACAGTCTCACTCTGACAATAATGAACAGGGGGATTCCCTCAAGATAGACTAGGACATGACCCCACACTGACAGGTAGTAGTACCTGAAAAGAACGCATGGAAAATCTTTACCTTATGCTTGAGGTAGGGACCAGGCTAAAGTGAAAGCCAGACCTAAAATTCTATCTAAAATAAATCCACAATCAAAGAAAATATGTGGTGTACAGGCATAGAATGTCTTTACTGGATCATTGAAATAGTAAGATAAATTCAACTTTTTACTTTGTTTTATTTTCCTCCAGTTAGGGCTTGAGGTTTGTCTCTGGAGAGTGACTGTCAATTGCAGCCCTGCCTTTCTGGGGTTCTGGTCAGGGGGTTGTGGATGCTTAACATGTGCCTTTCACAGGACACTTCCTTACCCCAGCAGTGGCCAGGTGTACATCCCACGACCAGGCCTCCCTCTCACAGAACATCTGTTGAGACTAGGAGATGTCTGGTGACTGTTGCCTGACCTGTGTCCTGTGTATTTCTGACAAGAGCCACTCTCAGAGACCCTGGCCAGGAGGAGAGTTCCAGTGTAGGTCAGCTCAGACACATGGAGGCCACAGAACCAAACATGGGAAATCACAGAAGTAGGTTTATTACTCACAGATCCAGAGAGAAGATGGTAGCTGAGAAGAGGGTTTAGCTGTGTCCCCAGCCAAATCTCATCTTGAATTCCCACATGTTGTGGGAGGGAACAGGTGGGAGGTAATTGAATCATGAGGGCAGATCTTTCCCATGCTCTTCTTCTGATAGTGAATAAGTCTCACAACATCTGATGGTTTTGTACAGGGGAGTTTCCTGCACAAGCTCTCTTGTCTTGTCTGCTGCCATGTGAGACGTGCCTTTCAGCTTGCACCATGATTGTGAGGCCTACCCAGCCATGTGGAACTGTGCGTGTATTAAACCTCTTTCTTCTGGAAATTACCCAGTCTTGAGCATGTCTTTACCACGGTATGAAAAGGGACTAATACAGTAGCACACCTCATAGGGTTGAACAAAATGGTGAAGATGAGTGGGGAGCAGGAGACAGAAAAGGGGTCTGTGGGACTCCAGCCTTTATTGGGCCCAGAACATTACCTGCGTGTGGGGGCTGTCCATGTGCACTGTGAGGTTTGTGGGGTGAGTCAGGTAGGTTGTATCCAATGGTTCCATAGCTGGTAGTCACCAGGAGGAGGCAACTGTGTAGGGTCAATATCTGGGCCAGCCACACTGAGGAACTGTGAGGGTTAGAACCGGAAATTTTCAAGGGAATCCGACCCAGCTACCATATGAGAGAGTTCAACTTATGTTCAATGTGAATGCCATGGCAATATTAAAAGGTAAGAATTCGCTCCATACGTGCTTGAGGTATATAGGGGAAACCTAGAATTTATGTAAACAGTGAGAAGACTGGATGCGTTTTATGTCACATATTTTAATACTAGCAGCTTATTATATATGTCAATCCATCAGGCATTCAGAAATACATGCTTATGAAAATTTTTTGCACCATCAGACAAAAGACAAGGATAGAAGACATTTGTAACCCTATAAACACTAGTAAATTAAAAACAGAAGGACCTTTATGTCCTAATATATCTGTGTTGTGAAAGGCTGCCCTGTGAAATACGCGATTTCTTAAACATATTTTAAAAATCATAGGTGTCAATATTTTTTAGAAATCCATTTGAATTTTCTCTTGCTATTTTACAATGCCTATTTGTTTATTTAGTGGCTCTGCTGATTTTGATGTATATCATAAACTTTACGTTTTCTTTAAAGGATGTTTTATACAAATTTATGTAAAATATTTCAGTATCTTCACATTCCCTCCCTGTTCTTTTGTTTTGCCCTTATATAGTGTTCTTGAGTCTTTTCTCTGGCTTCTCAAACCTGGTAAGACTAAGACACTAAAGTTACTTTGCCCGTGGTTTGGTAATGCCTTCTAAAGCACATCCTAAGCTCTCATGCATACAGGGGTCTCTTTTTAGCTCTGTGCTTTTGGGATCCCATATACCTAAATTCCAGTAATCCAAATTAGTACTGCTCAGTTTTAGTGACTAACTTTACAAATGTATTTTAATAGCAAGTTAGTTTAGTGCACTCTTGCTTCTTTCTTGACTGCTTGTATACATGTATATTCCTTTAAATGAATATAGGAATTTATTTAAAAATTTTAAATTATACTAATGAAACTGTATATTGTTGTGAATTCATAAGTGAATTTGGAAAGAATTTGTCTTTATGATACTAAATCTTTTTTATCCAAGAATCATATGTGTCTATATATTTATTCCAGTCTATATTTATATCACTAAGTAAATATATAGAAATATAGATACATACAACTGTAGTTATAGATACAAATATAGATATAACATGTTAAATCTATATCTATCCCATATAACATATATACATGTTATATGTGTGTGTTTATATATACATATGATTATGTTATTAAACAGCTCCCTTAAAATTTTTCTTTTATTTCCCATATAATTTTAGGTCGAGCTTGAATTTTCCTTGTATAAACAAGCAAATATTTATACTAGTTTTAATACTGATGTTTAGACATTCTATCTTATTTTAGCATTGAATATTTTCACAATTATTATAAATATTATCTAATATAAAAATGTACCTGTTAAAAATATTTAAAATTTTACCTTTGAATTATTTTATTGTTGAATTAAAATTCCTTTAATATGATAGTAAATTTCTATGTTATGCTTTCTCTATGCATATGCAAATTAATCTATCCACTTCTCTATCTCTATGTAGTGACATATGAAAATCAGGCCTCTCTTCTTCTAATGGACATACAGATGTTTGCATATAGAATATAAGACACTTTATAGCATTTAAAATCTTTAAGGCATGAATATTGCCTTTTAACAAATATACTTCAGCATGTACTGAGAATCCCCTATTTATTTTTAATTTAGGCTAATCAATATGATTATTAATATTATTGGATTACCAAATTTGGAAACACACTTTCATCCCCAAGGTGGATATTTGTTTTTTTTTTTTTTTGCCAATTTCTTGTCTTACTGTTTCAAATATTGTTGGATATTATTATTTTATTTAGCATTTTAGTATCAACATTTGTAATGGAGGTACTCTACATGTTTTTTTCTTCAATATCTGGAGGGTTTTATAATTACTGCTATATTGGATTTGTAGTAGACATTGACAAAAATTATTCCTGTATGTTTTATAGCTGAAAGAGGGAAACTAATATATTTTACCCCTAAATATATTTCCTTGATATATTTCAAAATGGCTGTTGAGAAGGGCTGGAAATGCAAACTTAGCTGCAAAGCTGTCTTGGGGAGATTTGCATCGGTATAGAATCTGCCTTGATGCAGCCAAGCTTTCTCTGAGGTCTTCCCCCTTGTCTGGATCCAGGAAATTTAACTGAGAGTCTGAGGTCTCCAAAGGTCTGAAAGAAACATTTTCTGTCTATTCTCTCTGAGGACTGTTCCAGTGAGGTTCCACCTATGTAATAAGTCCACTGTTGCTAGCTAGGTTCGTTTCCTCATATAACCTTTTTCTTTCTTTTCCCTGTGATCCAAGACCCCATTCTTTCTGTAAACTTCATGTGCTAGATAAGCTTCTGCACGCATCATGTGTCTGGGTCTTCGTTCTAAGGGGTCCAGTGTGCACACATTGCAGAAACCTGTATGCCTTTTCTACTATTTATCTGCCTCCTATTAGTGATTTTCAGGGAAACTTCAGAAGGCAAAAGGGACATTCTCCTTTAGCCCATTCTCAGACAAATTCCCCCAACATTTAACTGATTCCTAATAGCTTAAAATCACTTTGAAAAATCCATATATTTATAACCTTTTCTTCCCTCTATGATTTCTGGTCAGCTTGGGTTTTGTTTTTCATTTCATTTACTTCATCCTCGAAAAGATCTATTTTACATCTATTTATTCTCATTTATGGACATCGAGAAAAGAAAATAACTTTCATGTGAGAAATGCAAGTCCTTTTAAATAATCAGGTCCAGAGAGATATTCAAATGAGACAACAGTTCTGTCCTGCTCCTCTTTGAGCTGTGTGTTCATCTAGGCTGCTTGCTGTTGCCACAGTAGCTATAAATTAACCAATAACGCCACACACGACACGATAATCCACACCCAATTATAGTGTAACATTGTATAGCCAGTCACTAATAAATGTTATTTCCATAAGCCAATGAGAATTTGTGACAAACCTCTTTGCATCATCCCACTCCTGGACCCTTTTTTGCCTTTAAGGAACTGCTTCTTGCAAAGCTCCAAAGGGAGTTCATATCCAAGGATACTTGGGTCTGTTTCTTCCAGGCAGCTGTCCTCATTGTGGCTCAAGTAAACTCTTTGAATTACGTTTTGTGCTTCAGCCCCTTCCACTTAGATTAACAACATGGATTTGTGTCACCAGGTACAGCAATTAAAATGTTTACACTTTTCCCCTCGAGGGCACTGATGTGTTTTCCTGAGCACTTGGAATAGCTACATAGTGTTTCCTGTCTAGATTATGGTTTCTGAACCTTGGTGCTACTTACCTTTAGGACCAGAGGATTCTTTGTTGTGGGAGGCTGCCCTAGCAATGCTAGGTGTTTCGTTTGACCTCTAAATTTCACACCTCCACCAGTCTTGACATCCCCACAATATCCCTAGACATTGACAAATGTCTCCTGGGGAAAACTCTCCACCAGTTGACAGGCAAAGTTCTGGAAATATTGGAATTGTCAATTGAGATTTTAAGTTATCCAAAACAAATTTTTTTCTTTGTTTTTAAACATCTACTTCCATCTACTTATCTACTTATTTTCACTTTTATTTGTAACTTAATTCCATCAAGGAGAGGGAGTGCATTTTCTGTTATGCTAAATTTTTGAAGAATGTATTGATTTTTTAGGACCTGATATATGGATGATATGTAGATATTACATGTTTTTATTATCAAATTTCAGGGCGATAATAAAATAAATACTTATAATATTTATATTGTCACTGTATATTAGTTATTTTCTTTCTTCACTACAGGGGTTTTTCAACCTATAGGCTATTTTTCAATTCTTGGTTATCCAGTAGATTTTGAAATGTTATGATTAAATATCTACTTCTCAAGCATTCATCTTTGCAAATGAAACAATCCCTAGCACTTATAATGCACATCATACAAAGGGCAGATTAGTCAACATATGGTTCAGAAATAATTATGTAATACTTATAAGAAAATTAAAAATTTAGATCCTTAACTGAGATAACAATAATCAAAATTAAAATTTGATTTCATTACATAATTTAAAATGACACCAGAATACTAGTAAAAATGTAGATAAGTTTATGTAATCTTTTTTAGCTGTAGGACTTTATTAGCATAAATTGTAACACAGGTTCCAAAGTAAGATTGAGGCCTATAGTCAAAGGTTAAAATGTACACATTATAGGGGCATGATTAAACGAATTTAAAGCATAATAACATGGAGAAATATTGCAAAACATACATTTTTCTGAATTAATTGTTAATATCTAATCATTATGTGAGAACAAAACTAAAGAGTAGCTACACAGGCACACACCCACACACAACTGCAATATTGTCAAATAAACGATGTTCAGCTACACTAGAAATCACACCTGTGTTTTCTCCACAGAAGAGTAAAGATTAAAAATCACAATATTATTTATTGTACATATGGAGGTAAAGATACTCAAAATATTACCCAAAAATGCATTTTTTTTGAGATGGAGATTAGCTTTTATTGCCCAGGCTAGAGTGCAATGGCACAATCTTGGCTCACTGCAACCTCAGCCTCCCAGGGTCAACTAATTCTCCTAGCTCAGCCTCCCAAGTAGCTGAGATTACAGTCATGCACCAACACACTCGGCTAATTTTTTGTATTTAGTAGTGACGGGGTTTCACCATATAGGTCAGGCTGGTCTCCAACTCCTGAATTCAGGTGATCTACCCACTTCAGCCTCCCAAAGTGCTGGGATTACAGGCTTGCGCCTGGCCAGCTTTTTGACATTTTTCAAGATGGCTACTCGGAAGACTGGAGATAGTTTCTTCTACAAAAATAGCTGAAAAGCTGTGTTTGTTGGGGAGATTTGTATTTGTAGAGAAAATCTGCATTGATATAGACAGGCTTTCCCTGAGATACTCCCTTGTCTGGGTTTAGGAAAGATTAACTGAGTCTGGCGTGTTTACATTTCTAAAAACCATTTCCTAGCCATACTTCCCAAGAGGGGGGCTGCTCCCTGTGAGGTTTCACGCATGTAACAAGACCACCTCTGCTGCCAGGCTCCTCTTTCTTCCTTGTCGTCACCTGTCTTCCGCAAAGCCTGATTTACCAACCTACAGCTCTGTGTTTTCTGTAACCTCAAGACAGCATAGGCGTGTTGACTACCTTGCCTTTCCTGGAGTTTTTATATATATAGTATATATTTGTATATCTGTTTATAAGATACAAATATTTGTATAGATATATTATATATATTATGTAAACTCCCAGTGCATACTTGTGCACATATCTGTAAACCTTTTTTTCCTGTTAATTTGTACATTATCAGTTTATTTTATAGACTCAAATAATTAAAGCTTCAAGGGAAAAATTTAAACTTTCCTATAGAGAAAAGACAAATATATAGGTGACAAATAATATTTAGAGTGTAAGACACTTTTTGAAGGTATATTTGCAATTTGTATCAAAACATTTAAGTATACATTTGTTACTTTAACTATAAAATTTCAAATAATTTAAGCCAAATACATAGTATATGCAGAAAATTAGCAATATATCTATGTAGCACCTTACTGTACATTACTGTAACCAGCCGTCTAACATACAGAACTAATTAAGGTAGCACCTACTTTTCAAATATCGCATTTTTTTCACAGACCTATTAAATAAGACAAATAACATTTAAACTTTATTTTTAAATTTGCAGAAAAGCAGTTTTCAGCAGATGGTTTATTTTAGTAAATTCCATCTTCACATTGTGCTATGCTTTTATGAGTTCCAGCTGTTAACGGATATTTTACTGCTGAAACTATCATGTGTGGTTTAATTGCTCATTATGTGCCTTAAAACACAAGCAATATAATTATTTTCAACTTGGAGCAAATTAAAATCTTATCAGCAATTTAAAAACTCTAGAGTCGTCTTCTTCTGGTTAATTATTTTAAACTTGTATTTTTCTCTTTATGTTTTTAGTGAGTTGTCTTATCAAGGAGAAGAACTCAAGCTGATTATTCTTTTTTTTCTCTTCCATCCACCTCGCAAGTGTGTTAAGAATTTCATTTCTCAGAAAATGTTCTTTCATATCCATCTTACAAGATGAGAGACCTTTCAACATCTTCCATTCGGATGTCATACGAGTAATGGAACATATTCCAGCTTCATGAATATGGTGATACAAATAGTTAACCGTCTAACCTCTTTCAGTGCCAAATGTTTACTTTACTCAGTGAATTACTCAGTTGACTGGTAATTCTTCTGAAATCACTAATGAGAGGATCAGAGGTCTGGCTGTGGTCTGTACCTCATATGACTCCCAGTGCAGACAATTTTTTCTATGGAGCACAGACAGTTGAAAGGATTCACTTCCTGCCTAGGATAGTTTCTGCTGTGCCTCTTATCCTTCTTGTGGAGATTTCAGGTTATCTGAATTGCTTTTCTATCTTAAGAAAAAACGCAACAATTCTCTCACCTGAGAGGAATGTAAACTGTAGTAAGTTGGCAGAACCTATCTGTAAAGTTTTTACATTGTTGCAAAATGCAGCGCTGGTGTCTCCATCACTAACCTTTTCTATCCCTCATTGCTCTTTCTTTGACTGCAATAAGATACCTCTAGGCAAATCTGTATTCCCGAGACAGAGTGCCCTTTTGGTGAGCTATAAGCACACTCAATGGTAGGCTGAAATACTAGCTTTTATCTATGGCGAAATGGAATCATATCAGTGATTTTTTTTAAGAAGGAAATTTAACTCTTGCTATGGTTTGAATGCTTGCCCCTTCCAATCTCACGTTAAAATTTGATCCCCAATGTTGCAGGTGGGGCTCACTGGGAGGTGTTTGTTCATGGGGGTTGGACATTCATCAATGGATAATACCATCTCTTAGGAATCCAAAGCTATCCTCCCTCCACGGTGCCCTCAGGAATGAGTGTACCATTCTTTATTCACCTATAATTCCCCCACCCATCCTTTTTGAGATATTGATTACATATATGTTACACTGATGCATATTTTCTGACGTATCAGTGAGTTTCTGGCTGTCTTATTTTAGTTTACCCTTTGTCGTTTAGTTTGTAAATCTTCTATTTTGTTCTATAAATTTTCTGATGTTAGGGTAAAATCCATTACTTATTCTATCTCATGGAATTTTTATTTCAAATATTTATTTTTCATCTATACATGTCACATTTTTCATTTTATAACTTCTATTTTTCTCCTATGTTCAATTTTTCATTTAAGTACCTTGACATACACATGTATTTATCTATATGTATTTATAAAATATATTTACTTTAAGGACCTTGAAATTTCCTTCTTCTCTGTCATTTATAAATAACTTATTTTTATCCTGTTAATATATGTCTTAATCATATACATCTTACGGCTTCTTTGCATGTCAGAGGTTTTTTTGGGGGTATTTTGGTGTTATGCTATTGAATATCTAGATTTGATTGGCTACCTTTGAACAATGATGTGGCAGGCAGTTCAGTAACTTCAGGATGAGTATTTTTCTGTTGTTGTTTTAAATCTTCTCTTTAAACTTCGTTGAGTTAGTCTAGAGCCATCTGTAATTTGGAGCTAAATGAGCACTGTCACTAGGGCATGAACTTCCGGTGGTCTTTACTGAATATCCTGGAGGTACAGAGGGGATTCCCTTCTCTGGCTGGTCAGAGCTAACGTGTCTTCCTGTCATGTGATGCCAGGGAAATGTTCTTCTTCCAACTCCCTGGTACATTCCTTTGCTGAGCTCATTAGAATTTCATCCTATGTACATTTGGCTTAGGGATGTGGAAGAATCCTTAGGCTGATTCTTGGTTTCTTTTTCTGTAAACGTTCTCTTCTACTACACATTCCAGCTGCTTAACCTTTTTTGATTTTTATCTGGTTCCTCAGTGCAATGACAATGTCTGCTTTCTCTGGGATTCCTCCCTACTGCTGTCACGGATAATCTGGGAATAAAGCAGGACTCATTCTGGCTCCTTCTCTTCTCTTGCTGAGCACAGTCCTGTACTGCCTGATGTTCAGTACTTCAAAAAAATGTTTCATATATTTTGTCCAGTTTACTATTCTTTAAGTCTAAAAGTGTAACTCCAGTCCCAGTTACAGCATCATGTTCTGTAACTCTACTCCTTGTTGCTTCATTCTGCCATTGTCTGGTATGATCTCCCCTTTCCCTTCTGTAATCAGGCCAAGGGCATAATATAATACTAGTTATAACTGCACAGGTTGCCTCCGTTGTGTCAAAAAATCACTGAGACTTAACTGTGTCCAACTTTTAAAATGTGAATATAAGTACAACTAAAGCTATATTTTGGTTAATATTTGCATTGCATGCTTTTCCATTATTTACTTTCAACATATGTGAAATATGAATATAAATTATAAAAACTTTAAGAGAGTCCATTTAAAACATCTGATCTGGTTATGTTTTAACTGGTTTAATACAACGTGCATTCTTGAATTCAGGGTCTAATATAATTGGTACATCTGTCTATTTGCAGAAAAAAAGAAAACTTGACAATATTTTAAAATTAATTTATCCAACTCACAACTTATATGCTTCTGCCGTTGAATGGAAGATACATTTTAAATTTTATGAGATAGCATTCTGTTATAGAGTCAATATCCAATTAAATTTCTATGTTTATTTCTTTCATTAAAAAATTGTTCTTCTATCTGCAAACTTTCATCAGAGATCATGGCTCTTCTACCTGAAGAATAATCTTTAGTATTTCCTTTCCTGTGGGTCTGCTTGGGAGAAATTCTTTATTGTGTCTTTGCTTTTGATGGATATGTCCACCAAGTAGACAGTTCTAGGTCAGCACTTATTTTATTTCAGGACTTGAAAGATATCAATACCTCACTTGTTGGCTTTCGTAGTTTCATTTGAGAAAGTTGTTATCAGTCAACTCTTTCTCTTTGTAGTTAGCCCAATTTTTTTATCAAGTGCTCTTTACATTTTTCTTTTACTTTTCAGAAATTGTCCCATTATGTTTCTAGATGTGACCTCTGTGTGTGTTTTCCTTTGCTTGGAAAAGCCTCCTGAACCTGTCGTTTAATATTATTGGTCAATTTTGATAAAGCCTCTAACATTGCCACTTAAAATGCTGTTCAGACAAGCTGTTTTCTCCTTCTTAGATTTCAACGTGTTAGATTATTACTCTATCCTTCATATTTTTTAAATGACCTTTCTCTACAAATTTTTTAGTTGGTTAATCTGTATTGGTGTATATTGTGTTATTTTATTCTATTTTATTTTATTATTATACCTTAAGTTTTAGGATACATGTGCACCATGTGCAGGTTTGTAACATAAGTGTTCATGTGCCATGTTGCTGTGCTGCACCCATTAACTCGTCATTTAGCATTAGGTATATCTCCTAATGCTATCCCTCTCCACTCACCCCACCCCACAACAGTCCCCGAAGTGTGATGTTCCCCTTCCTGTGTCCATGTGTTCTCATTGTTCAATACCCACCTATGAATGATAACATGTGGTGTTTGGTTTTTTGTTCTTGCGATAGTTTACTGAGAATGATGATTTCCAGTTTCATCCATGTCCCTACATAGGACACGAACTCATCATTTTTTGTGGCTGTATAGTACTCCATGGTGTATATGTGCCACATTTTCTTAATCCAGTCTATCGTTGTTGGACATTTGGGATGGTTCCAAGTCTTTGCTATTGTGAATAGTGCCGCAATAAACATACGTGTGCATGTGTCTTTATTGCAGCATGATTTATAGTCCTTTGTGTATATACCCAGTAATGAAATGGCTGGGTCACATGGTATTTCTAGTTCTAGATACTTGAGGAATCGCCACACTGATTTTCACAAAGGTTGAACTAGTTTACCGTCCCACCAACAGTGTAAAAGTGTTCCTATTTCTCCACATCCTCTCCAGCACCTGCCGTTTCCTGACTTTTTAATGATCGCCATTCTAACTGGTGTGAGATGGTATCTCATTGTGGTTTTGATTTGCATTTCTCTGATGGCCAGAGATGATGAGCATTTTTTCATGTGTTTTTTGGCTGCATAAATGTCTTCTTTTGAGAAGTGTCTGTTCGTGTCCTTCACCCACTTTTTGATGGGGTTGTTTGTGTTTTACTTGTAAATTTGTTTGAGTTCATTGTAGATTCTGGTTATTAGCCCTTTGTCAGATGAGTAGGTTGCAAAAATTTTCTCCCATTTTGTAGGTTGCCTGTTCACTCTGATGATAGTTTCTTTTGCTGTGCAGAAGCTCTTTAGTTTAATTAGATCCCCTTTGTCAATTTTGGCTTTTGTTCTCATTGCTTTTGGTGTTTTAGACATGAAGTCCTTGCCCAGGCCTATGTCCTGAATGGTATTGCCTAGGTTTTCTTCTAGGGTTTTTATGATTTTAGTTCTAACATGTAAGTCTTTGATCCAACTTGAATTAATTTTTGTATAAGGTGTAAGGAAGGGATCCAGTTTCTGCTTTCTACATATGGCTAGCCAGTTTTCCCAGCACCATTTATTAAATAGGGAATCCTTTCCCCATTGCTTGTTTTTGTCAAGTTTGTCAAAGATCAGACAGTTTTAGCTATGTGGCATTATTTCTGAGGGCTCTGTCCTGTTCCATTGATCTACGTCTGTGTTTTGGTACCAGTAACATGCTGTTTTGGTTACTGTAGCCTTGTAGTATAGTTTGAAGTCAGGTAGCATGATGCCTCCAGCTTTGTTCTTTTGGCTTATGATTGACTTGGCGATGCGGGCTCTTTTTTGATTCCATATGTACTTTAAAGTCGTTTTTTCCAATTCTGTGAAGAAAGTCATTGGTAGCTTGATGGGGATGGCATTGAATCTATAAATTACCTTGCGCAGTATGGCCATTTTCACGATATTGATTCTTCCAACCCAAGAGCATGGAATGTTCTTCCATTTCTTTGTATCCTCTTTTATTTCATTGAGCAGTGGTTTGCAGTTCTCCTTGAAGATGTCCTTCATGTCCCTTGTAAGTTGGGTTCCTAGGTATTTTATTCTCTTTGAAGCAATTGTGAATGGGAGTTCACTCATGATTTGGCTCTCTGTTTGTCTGTTATTGGTGTACAAGAATGCTTGTGATTTTTATACATTGATTTTGTATCTTGAGACTTTGCTGAGGTTGCTTATCAGCTTAAGGAGATTTTGGGCTGAGACAATGGGGTTTTCTAGATATACAACCATGTCATCTGCAAATGGGGACAATTTGACTTCCTCTTTTCCTAATTGAATACAGTTTGTTTCCTTCTCCTGCCTGATTGCCCTGGCCAGAACTTCCATCACTATGTTGAATAGGAGTGGTGAGAGAGGACATCCCTGTCGTGTGCCAGTTTTCAACAGGAATGCTTCCAGTTTTTGCCCATTCAGTATGATATTGGCTGTGGGTTTGTCATAGATAGCTCTTATTATTTTGAGATACGTCCCATCAATACCTAATTTATTGAGAACGTTTAGCATGAAGGGCTGTTGAATTTTGTCAAAGGTCTTTTCTTCATCTATTGAGATAATCATGTGGTTTTTGTCTTTGGTTAGGTTTATATGCTGGATTACATTTATTGATTTGCATATGTTGAACCAGCCTTGCATCCCAGGGATGAAGCCCACTTGATCATGGTGGATAAGTTTTTTGATGTGCTGCTGGATTCATTTTGCCAGTATTTTATTGAGGATGTTTGCATCAATGTTCATGAAGGATATTGGTCTAAAATTCTCTTTTTTTGTTGTGTCTCTGCCCGGCTTTGGTATCAGGATGATGCTGGCCTCATAAAATTAGTTAGAAAGGAATCCCTCTTTTTCTATTGATTGGAATACTTTCAGAAGGAATGGTACCAGTTCCTCCTTGTACGTCTGTTAGAATTCTGCTGTGAATCCATCTGCTCCTGGACTCTTTTTAGTTGGTAAGCTATTGATTATTGCCACAATTTCAGATCCTGTTATTGGTCTATTCAGAGATTCAACTTCTTCCTGGTTTAGTCTTGGGAGAGTGTATGTGTTGAGGAATTTATCCATTTCTTCTAGATTTTCTAGTTTATTTGCATAGAGGTGTTTGTAGTTTTCTGTGATGGTAGATTTTATTTCTGTGGGATCGGTGGTGATAACCCCTTTATCATTTTTGGTTGCATCTATTTGATTCTTCTCTCTTTTCTTCTTTATTAGTCTTGCTAGTGGTCTATCAATTTTGTTGATCTTTTCAAAAAACCAGCTACTGGATTCATTAATTTTTTGAAGGGTTTTTTTGTGTCTCTATTTCCTTCAGTTCTGCTCCGATTTTAGTTATTTCTTGCCTTCTGCTAGCTTTTGAATGTGTTTGCTCTTGCTTTTCAAGTTCTTTTAATTGTGATGTTAGGGTGTCAATTTTGGATCTTTCCTGCTTTCTCTTGTGGGCATTTAGTGCTATAAATTTCCCTCTACACACTGCTTTGAGTGTGTCCCAGAGATTCTGGTATGTTTTGTCTTTGTCCTCGTTGGTTTCAAAGAACATCTTTATTTCTGCCTTCGTTTTGTTATGTACCCCGTGGTCATTCCGGAGCAGGTTGTTCGTTTTCCATGTAGTTGAGCGGTTTTCAGTGAGTTTCTTAATCCTGAGTTCTAGATTGATTGCACTGTGGTCTTAGAGACAGTTTGTTATAATTTCTGTTCTTTTACCTTTGCTGAGGAGAGCTTTACTTCCAACTATGTGCTCAAGTTTGGAATGGGTGTGGTGTGGTGCTGAAAAAAATGTATGTTCTGTTGATTTGGGGTGGAGAGTTCCGTAGATGTCTATTAGGTGCACTTGGTGCAGAGCTGAGTTCAATACCTGGGTGGTCTTGCTAACTTTCTGTCTCGTTGATCTGTCTAATGTTGACAGTGGTGTGTTAAAATCTCCCATTATGATTGTGGGGGAGTCTAAGTCTCTTTGTAGGTCACTCAGGACTTGCTTTATGAATCTGGGTGCTCCTGCATTGGGTGCATATATATTTAGGATAGTTAGCTCTTCTTGTTGAATTGATCCCTTTACCATTATGTAAAGGCTTTCTTTGTCTCTTTTGATCTTTGTTGGTTTAAAGTCTATTTTATCACATACTAGGATTGCAACCCCTGCCTTTTTTTGTTTTCCATTTGCTTGGTAGACCTTCCTCCATCCCTTTATTTTGAGTCTATATGTGTCTCTGCACGTGAGATGGGTTTCCTGAATACAGCACACTGATGGGTCTTGTCTCCTTATCCAATTTGCCAGTCTGCATCTTTTAATTGGAGCATTTAGCCCATTTACATTTAAAGTTAATATTGTTATGTGTGAATTTGATCCTGTCATTATGATGTTAGCTGGTTATTTTGCTCGTTAGTTGATGCGGTTTCTTTCTAGTCACAATTGTCTTTACAATTTGGCATGTTTTTGCAGTGGCTGGTACCAGTTATTCCTTTCCATGTTTAGTGCTTCCTTCAGGAGCTCTTTTAGGGCAAGCAAATCTCTCAGCATTTGCTTGTCTGTAAAGGATTTTATTTCTCCTTCACTTATGAAGCTTAGTTTGGCTGGATATGAAATTCTGGGTTGAAAATTATTTTCTTTAAGAATGTTGAATATTGGCCTCCACTCTCTTCTGGCTTGAAGAGTTTCTGCCGAGAGTTCAGCTGTTATTCTGATGGGCTTCCTTTGTGGGTAACCTGACCCTTCTCTCTGGCTGCCCTTAACATTTTTTCCTTCATTTCAACTTTGGTGAATTTGACAGTTATGTGTCTTGGAGTTTATCTTCTTGAGGAGTATCTTTCTGGCGTTCTCTGTGTTTCCTGAATCTGAATGTTGGCCTGCCTTGCTAGATTGGGTAAGTCCTCCTGGATAATATCTTGAAGAGTGTTTTCCAACTTAGTTCCATTCTCCCCATCACTTTCAGGTACAGCAATCAGACGTAGGTTTGTTCTTTTCACAGAGTCCCATAATTCCTGGAGGCTTTGTTCGTTTCTTTTTATTCTTTTTTCTCTAAACTTCCCTTCTCCATTCGTTTCATTCATTTCATCTTCCATCACTGATACCCTTTCTTCCAGTTGATTGCATTGGCTCCTGAGGCTTCTGCCTTCTTCACGTACTTCTCGAAACTTGGCTTTCAGCTCCATCAGATCCCTTAAGCATTTCTCTGCATTGGTTATTCCAGTTATACATTCGTCTAATTGTTTTTCAATGTTTTTAACTTCTTTGCTATTGGTTTGAATTTCCTCCTGTATCTCGCAGTAGTTTGATCATCTGAAGCCTTCTTCTCTGAAATCGTCAAAGTTATTCTCTGTTCAGTTTTATTCCATTGCTGGTGTGGAACTGCATTCCTTTGGAGAAGGAGAGGAACTCTGCTTTTTAGAGTTTCCAGTTTTTCTGTTCTGTTTTCTCCCCATCTTTGTCATTTTATCAACTTTTGGTCTTTGATGATGGTGATGTACAGATGGGTTTTTGGTGTGGGTGTCCTTTCTGTTTGTTAGTTTTCCTTCTAATAGACAGGACCCTCAGCTTCAGGTCTGTTGGAGTCTACTAGAGGTCCACGCCAGACCCTCTTTGCTTGGGTATCAGCAGCGGTGGCTGCAGAACAGCGGATTTTCGTGAACCACAAATTCAGCTGTCTGATCATTCCTCTGGAAGTTTGGTCTCAGAGGACTACCCGGCCGAGTGAGGTGTCAGTCTGTCCCTACAGGGGGGTGCCTCCCAGTTAGGCTGCTCGGGGTTCAGTGACCCACTTTAGGAGGCAGTCTGCCCAGTCTCAGATCTCCAGTTGCGTGCTGGGAGAACCACTACTGTCTTCAAACTGTCAGACACGGACATTTAAGTCTGCAGAGGTTACTGCTGACTTTTTGTGTGTCTATGCCCTGCCCCTAGAGGTGGAGCCTATAGAGGCAGGCAGGCCTCCTGGAGCTGTTGTGGGTTCCACCCAGTTCCAGCTGCTTGGCTGCTTTGTTTACCTAAGAAAGCCAGGGCAATGGCGGGCCCCACTCCCCCAGCCTCGCTGCCGCCTTGCAGTTTGATCTCAGAGAGCCGTGCTAGCAATCAGCAAGACTCCATTGGCATAAGACCCTCTGAGCCAGGTGCAGGACACAATCTCCTGGTGTGCCATTTTCCAAGCCTGTTGGAAAAGTGCAGTATTAGGGTGAGAGTGACCCAATTTTCCAGGTGCCATCTGTCACCCCATTCTTTGACTAGGAAAGGGAACTTCCTGACCCCTTGTGCTTCCTGAGTGAGGCAATGCCTCACCCTGCTTCGGATCCCACACGGTGGGCTGCACCCACTGTCCTGCACCCACTGTTTGGCACTCCCTTAGTGAGATGAACCCGGTACCTCAGATGGAAATGCAGAAATCACCCATCTTTTGCATCGCTCATGCTGGGAGCTGTAGACCGGAGCTGTTCCTATTCGGCCATCTTGGCTCCACCCCTTATTTCATTATTTCATCATTTCATCATTTCACTTCATTTCATCATTTCATTTCATCATTTCATACCATTTCTTCATTTCATCATTTCATAATTTCATTTCATTTCACTATTTCAATTCATCATTTCATTTCAGCATTTCATTTCATTTCCTCATTTCATTGCACCATTTCATTTCATCATTTCATCATTTCATTTCATCATTCCATTTCACCATTTCATCGTTTCATTTCATCTCATCATTTCATTTCATCATTTCATTTCATTTCAGTGTTTCATTTCATCATTTCACCACTTCATTTCATCTCATCATTTCATTTCATTTCATCGTTTTAACATTTCATTTCATTTCATTTCATCATTTCATCATTTCGTTTCATCATTTCATTTCATTTCATGTCATCATTTCATCATTTCATTTCATTTCAGTGATACATGAATTTAAGTGCTAATGTGATGCCCAGGAAACACCCCATTTCCCTTTGTAAAACACTTCCTTCAACAGAACTCAACCTCTCATAGCTGGCGAAGTCTACAGGGATAACAGCCTCTCTTCAACCACCCAATTTGATTCAGAACCTCAAACACCACCTCAGTTTCATAAACACCTAAAACATAAACACAACACTTGGTTGTAAGTGAGCCAACAGTTTCTAGTCTCTTTCTCTGCTCAAGGCTTAAGGCTGTGTCTCCCCAACTATGTTCAGTGGAAGAAAAGATCCCCTGGACAAATAAGTTTGAGAACTGTTGTTGCAGGACTTCTGAGAACCTTTAAAACACAAATCCTCATCCGCAGGGATCTTCAGGAGTGAGATGGCTGATGCAGCACAACTTTCTTTCACAGGAGCATCTTGTAGAATACAGTATGAGATGCAGAAAGGCTGCATTGAGTCTTTTTAAGGGCCAGGGCCTTCGTGGCGGTGGGGTAGAAGCTCTCCAGATAGCATCTAATGAGTAGGAACATTCAGGTTGCTTTTTTTTTCCTTACTGGCAAAACTGTGTGTGCATCATGAATGAAGACGGTCTCCCTTATCCATATCAAAACTAAACCCTAATTAATTGGCTAAATTGGGACTCAACACCTCCAGGAGCCATGTGGAAGAAAGCCCCACCACACGTTAAATTAGCTTACCTCATCATATTTGAGGAAAGCAAAACGCTTATGACCAGTGTGCTGCTAATACAAGTCAACAGATAATGCTGTATGAAAAATTATTTTTCCCAATCACAGCTAGCAGAGTCCACATTTTGCATTACACCTTCCCTCCTTTTTTAAAATTTTAAACACAGGTCCTTTTCTCTCCTTTTTTTAAATTTTAATTTAATTATACAAGACGGAGTCTCAGTATGTGGCCCAGGCTATTCTTCAACTCCTGAGATCAAACGATACATCCATCTCTGCCTCCCAAAGTGCTGAGATTACAGGCCTGAGACACTGTGCCCGGACTTAAACACAAATCTTAATTCATTCTTACAATTATCCTGGGGTTAGAAAAATGGAAGGTGAAGAAAAATGGCAAGCAGGTAGGCTGACTTCGGCTTCATTATTTGGAAGGACAGTTTGCTCGGTTAAAACACACTACTGCCCACAAAGGCCAAGACAACATATAAATACAGACATATAAATAGACTTTATATGTGACAGCAGTTTGAATGGAGACTTTTTCAATGCAAATGGCAAACAGCTGTCCTTGGGAATAAATGACAACGAATTTTTTTTTATCTCAACAGCTGTCCTGAGAGCGTGTCTCTACATCTCTACCTGCATTCTGGAGTCAGGGAGAAAGCCAAAACGGACGACAAGACACTAGATCAGCCCTGTCCAACCCTTTGACTACAAGGACTTTTCCCCCATCTGTGGTGGTGGGTATCATGAAAATTATGCACAAACCTTTTTTTTTTTTTTAGCTCATCTGCTATCATTAGCGATAGTGTATTTTATCTGTGGCTCAGGAGCATTCTTCTTCCAATGTGGCCCTGAGAAGCCAAAAGACTGGACACCTGTGCACTAGATCAAAAGGCTACTCCTTCTGGAAGCAATTGTAAAGAATTTCTGACATTATCTTGACATGAAAACCAATGGATAGTGGGACAGAATGCAAAATCTTCAAGAATTTTTCTTGTTGGTTTTTTTTTTTTTTTGAGTCAAGGTGTTGTTCTGTGGCCCAGGCTGGAATACACTGGTGAGATCACAGCTCAGTGCAGGCTCAAGTGCTCCTCCCACCTCAGCCACAGTAGTAGCTAGGACTACAGATGCACATAATCACTCTTGGCTAATATTTTATTTTTTGTAGAGATGGGGTCTCATTATATTGTCCAGGTTGGTCTCAAACTCCTTGACTCAAGGGATCCAGGACAGGATAACAGGCGTGAGCCACCACACCTGGCTATGTGCATGAACTTTTAAGACAAATACAAGGCTCCACAAAAATTAAGGTTTTCCCACCTAATTTCCAGGGCATCTCTTGGTGCAAGGATAAGAAACCCTTAAAAGTACACAGACATCTCCAAAGATTCAAGACAGTTCATTCAGGCTGAGCCAGCCCACTCGGCAGACTGACCTTCAAAAAAGGCCCACCCATCACATACACCAGATGGCTGTCCAAGAATCTCTTCAGTCCTCAGGGTCCGTTAGGTACTGGACAGATCTAGTAAAGCAAACCCATTTGCTTCTTCCTGCAGGAAACCCCTTGAGGTCAAGACCCCACAATCAGATGAGGATGGAGTGGCTCACCCTCAGTCAACAGGCCAGACTCAAGGTGGTATAATGTCTTAACCAAGGGTGTGGGACTCCAGGTCTGAATCCTAACTCAGTTCTCCTTTGATAACCACACTTTGTTAATTCTCCTTAACAGGGGTTCCTGGCAAGTCATTTCTCCCTCAGGCCTTTGGTTTCCTCACCTACAAGATGAGAAGGCTGCACCAGATGGAAATTCGGGGCGTAAGGGGATGTCCGCACGCAGCCCACCCCGCCCACGGGCCCCTCGAGCCTCTATCACAGTTCCCAACACGCACCCGCCCCGCAAATCCTGCCCAAGCTGAGGGCTGGTCCCGGGTGCTCCGACTGCCGCATCAGCGAGTGCAGGAGGGAGGAGAAGCCTCCAAAGGGCCGATGCGGGCTCAAGGATGCAACTCGGCCAGGAGTGAACTGGGGCCCCGAGGGAGATGTCCAGTCCGTTGCTGGAGCCCAGCCCTGGTCCCCGACCCCCTTACCTGCAGGGTCCATATCTCCTGCTGGTGAGGTCCTTGGACACAGCGCACTTGGTGCGCAGCCCGCGCAGGCTGCCAACGGAGATGCCGATGAGCTTCTGGAGCTGCCGGCACTGCTGTAGCACCCGGCTGGCTGCGGCCCCTGTGCCTCCCTCCGCGATAGCCGCGTCACCCCCGCCACAGCTCTCCTTCTTTTCTCCCAACGGGGCTGAGCGCAGCACCGCTCTATGCAGGCTGCAGCAGCCCAGGAACAGAGCCTGGGGCGCGTGTGTCTAGGCAAGGAACCCCCGAACCGGGAGAGCTGGACCAGGAGTGACCCTCGGCCCCGCCTTAGCCAGGACGCCGGTAGATCTGGCAGCCAAGTCTGCCGATCCCGCCCTCAGACCCACGGCGGTGGGGGCAAAAAGCCGCGGCGATGGGGACAAATACCCGCGATGGCGGGGTGAAAAAGCCGCAGCGGTAAAAACCTGTGGCGGCGGGAGTAAAAAGCCACGTCGGCAAAAAGCCGCGGCGGCTGGGAAAAAGCCGCGGTGATGGGGGCAAAAAGCCGCGGCCGCGGGGGCAAAAAGCCACAAAAAGCCTCGGCGGCGGGTGCAAAAAGCCGCAACGGTGGGGTCAAAAAGCCGGGGGGGTGGGGGGAAAAGCTGGGGCGACGGGGGCAACAAGCCAGGGCGGTGGGGGCAACAAGCCACAGCGACAAAAAGCTGCGGTGGCGGGGGCAAAAAGCCGCGGCGGCAGGGGCAAAAAGCTGCGGTGACGAGAGCAAAAAGCCTTAAAAAGCCTCAGCGTCGGGGGCAGAAAGCCGCGACGGCGGGGGCAAAAAGCCGCGGTGGCGGGGTAAGAAGCCACGGCGGCAAAAAGATATGGCGGCAGTGGCAAAAAGGCGCGGCGGGGGCAAAACGGTGCGGCGGCGGCAAAAAGCCGCGGCGGCGGGGCCAAAAAGCCTCAAAAAGCCGCGGTGTCTGGTGCCAAAAGCCGTAAAAAGCCGTGGCGGAGGGGGTAAAAAGCAGCAAAAAGCCGCGGCAGAGGGGGCAAAAAGCAGGGTCGGCAAAAAGCCACTACGGCGGGGACCTGAAGCCGCAAAAACCTTTGGCGGCAGGGGCAAAAACTCGTGGCGGCGGGGTCAAAAAGCGGCTGGGGTGATAAAAAGCCATGGCGGTGGGGGCAGGAAGCCGCGTAGGGGGCAAGGAGCCGCGGGGGCTGGGACAAAAAGCCGCGGTGGCGGAGGCAAAAAGCTGCAAAAAGCCCAGGCAGTGGGGGCAAGAAGCCGCGGCAGGAAAAACCTGAGGCGGCGGGGGGAAAAAGCCGCGGCGGCAGGGGCGAAAAGGTGTAAAAAGCTGCGGTGGCGGGGGCCACAAGCCGCGTCGGCAAAAAGCCGCAAAAAGCCTCGGCGGCGGGGCAAGAAGCCACGGCGGGAAAAACCTGCGGCGGCGGGGGTGAAAAGCAGTACAAAGCCGCGGCGCCGGGGGCCAAAAGCCATAAAAAGCCACGGCGGCGGTGACAAACAGCCGCGGCGGAAAAAAAAAATCACGGTGGCGGGGACAAAAAGCTGCGGCAGCAGGGAGAAAAAAGCCGCAAAAAGCCGCGGCGGCGAGGGCAAACAGCCATGGCTTCGGGGGCAAAAAGCCGCGGCGGCGAGGGGAGAAAGACGCCAAAAGCTGCGGCGGCAAAAAGCCGTGGCAGCGAGGGCAAAGAGCCCCAAAAAGCCGCGGCGGGAGGGGCTAAATTCCGCGAGGCTGGGGGCAGAAAGCCACAAAAACCCACAGCGGCGGGGTCAAAAATCCACGGCGGCAAAAAGCCACGTCAGCGGGGGCAAAATAGTGGAAATGGGGTAGAAGGCCAGAACAGCTTGGCATTCCTGGAGTGTGATGTGGAAGGAAAAGTGCAGAGGAAGACAAACAAAGATGTAAGTAGGCTTGACTCAGTGCAGCTAAGAACCCACATGTTATCTTGATGTTATCCATCAGCTAATTTTTTGTATTTTAGTAGAGAAGGGGTTTTACCACGTTGGCCAGGATGGTCTCGATCTCCTGACCTCATGATCCATGCACCTCAGCCTCCCAAAGTGGTGGGATTAGAGGCATGAGCCACAAAGTGCTCAAAAAAATCTATTAATTAAAAAATGTGTATGTAGCCATCTTTAATCTACCATGTCCATTAGCAGATAAATACTATAAGCAAAATAACAACAGTGAAAGAAACATAGACTTAGAGTAGATACTCTGATTTATTTAATAAAAATTTGAAAATAGACCAAATTACTCTATGATAAAAAAAAATCTGTTACTATTGAGGATGAGGGTTAGTGTTTGGAAAGGGGCAGGAGAAGTATCTCTATTTTTAGTAATGTTCTATTTTCATACATGGTTATAAGCAAATACATGTGTTTCATTAATGAAGCTATCCATATTTAATCATTGTACTTTTCTGCATGTATGATATATGTCAATAAATGTCTTAAATTATATACAGCAAAAATAGACAAAAACACAAGAAGACATACACAAATGTTAAACCTAGAGAGAAATGTGAATATAAGTAAGTCTCTGAATGACTGATAGAACAAACCAAAAAATAGGATGGAGAGGTTTGGAACAGCATGATTAGCAAAATTGACATATCTGTCTTTTAATATAGGTAGAAACATAGTTAGATAAAAAAAGGACTTGTCTCGGAGCATGATTTCTGAAAATAGTGGAATCGAGTTTGAATATAGTAAGTGCATATAAATAAATGTCTTAAAACTTCTCTTATGTTAGCTAATTAAGAAATATTATTGTAATAGACATTAAAAAATATTTTAATAAATTGAGTGCATTTCTCACGCTAAGGAAATGATCTTACTTGCATTTGATAGTTCAATTAGATGCATATATACCTATAGGTAGTTTAACATATTTCTAATAACCTTATGTACTTTTAAAAAGCATTGATATATGTTTGCACTATCTAGTCTATAGAGTACACATACCAAACATGATTATCGCTCTTCTGCTGTAAACTTCAAATGTCTAATTAATACAAAAATCTAGAATGAGAAGAGTTCTTTGCAATTTTTTTTTTTTACCAAATAGAATATAGGAAAGATAGCTGCAAATATACCTGACACACTTATCTGTGAGTATGGTGGTAGCCTTTTTATTTTATTTTATTTTGAGAGAGGGTCTCACTTTGTCACCCAAGAGGGAGTGCAGTCATGTGATCAGAGCTCACTGAAGCTTTCACATACTGTGCTCAAGCGATTCTCCCACCTCAGTCTCCTGAGTAGCAGGGACTGCAAGTGCATGACACCATACTAGCTAATTTTTGTAAAGATGGGGTTTCACCATGTTGCCCTGGCTGATCTCCATCTCCTGGACTCAAGAGATCTGGCCACCTTGGCCTCCCAAAGTGCTGGGATTATAGTTTTGGGGCACCGCGATCAGCCCAGCCTTAAAAAAGGCAGACTAGAGATCTTTATCTATGTATATCTATATCTATCTATAAAATAAACATATGTGTTCCTTATATAAAAATATATATTATTAATATTATATAAAATTTTTTTCGAGGTAGAAATATATAAAGAGGGTGCATGTAGAGCCTGGGTCATTGTGTAGTGAAGCTCAAGGCCTCTGAAGAAATGCCCCTTGCCTCTTTTGTCTGGGCTAGAATCCGAGAAGGGAAAGCAGCAGATGCACTGGTTCCCAGGTTCTTGGCATCCTACAGAGAGAAACTTGAGCTAGGGTAGTGTTTAACACCCTTGTTCTTACTCTTCTGTTTTATGTAGTAAGCAGAGACTAGCTTCATGAGAACAGACAGTGACAGTCAAGGCTGTCTGTTATTTTGTGCAGCATTAAATGAGAAATTCTAGCTCCTGAAGACCTCTGGGCCATTTGAGGGTAGGTGCAGGGGAGGAAAGGGAAGTTTGCATCCCTCCTGCTGTGTAGAGAACCCGTGGGAAGCACAGACCTTGTCCTAACTGAAGGCATAACCCCTTCCTAACCAGCTTCTCATCAGCCAACCTTGGATGAGTTTCCATGTCTATTTACTAAATAATCCTTATTGCTCTTCTTCATATGGGCAAAGTATGGTTTACAGGGAATATTGTTCCTTTGAGCACCCATCGTGGAAACCCCTTCCTGTTGTGGGAAAACAGGCTTCCATATGTGTCTTATTGGGAAACACATAGGCAGTTTCTATGTTTTTACTGCATCTATTTCAGGGATATGGGAACTGAATAGTGCCCATCAAAGTCTCACCTGATGTTGGAAATTGATCTGAGAGCGCGGAAGGGCAGAATTCTTTCTTTGTTCCTGGACAGCGGTGGTTGAGGGATCATTCTGTGGCAACTACAGTGGCAATGATGGAGGCAGAATAGAGGGCTCAGTACCAAGACAAGGAGAGACTTGGCCTCACAATGGCAGCATTGCAGGGGTGCGCTCTACAGAGCATTCGCTCACATGGTTTTGGGCATTGTCTCTAAATACATTGCTTCCCCAATAGGTTGACCCATTCTAACTAACTCCTTTTCTCTTTAAAAAAGCAAACTTAATTTGCATGTCTTGCAATTGTAAACGACAGCAATTGGCCAGTTATCATTCAAATTCTGTTACTTAATCCTGCCTTTTCCTGACGTATGCAACTTTCGCCTAAAAAATTGGACACTGTGTTGCTTACTCATTGTCTTTACACATTTTACAATGTTGCTTTGTGCCCCCAATCCCTAACTACATTTTCAATGTTTTGCAAGTGGAGTCCATGTGTTCTTGATTTACATGAAGCTCAAAATAATGGTTATAGTAACTAGTACAAACCTTTTGGCCTCTTCCTTAAAATTCAGGGAAGCATGTCCTCCAAAAAACAGAATCAAAATATAAATAAAAGACTGGCTTAAGATGAAAGGAAACCTTACAAATGAAAAGAAGCCAGATGAGAGGCACTTAACTGAGAATGAAAAGAAACTGAGTGGACAAAATAATTATGAGAAGATGAACCTTCAAATCAGAAAGAGGGCAAAAAGCTTATTTGATACTATGGGAACTCAAAAGAGAGTGAACACAAATGTGAAAATTCCAGGAGTAAAGGAAAGTAGCATAGCTAAATTAAGAGCATGAGAAAATGTATACAATTTTGAGTAATAAGAACAGAAATCAAAAGTAACTATTATATGTTATATTTTAGTAGAGCAACACTGAAGAAGAATGAAAACAAGAAATAATATTAAATATGAACATATGGATAACAGAATAATATTTTTAAAATTTTTAGTTTCTAAGCTTCTCTGAAATTTTAATTTTGTTTTCTTATGTAATACCAGAGTTATTAGGAAGGTATTATCTAATAACACTATTTTCAGTGATATTTTAAGTAGTTGTCCTAGAAAAATTTTATTTTTAAAAAATGTATATTTAAAAATACATTAAATGTGTATATACATCAATCATATGTATCGATTTCTGTTTTTCTTGAATTGCAAATGAAATTTGTATTTTTGTGTTCCTGGAATAAAATAAACTTGAATGGATTGTAATATGTTATTCATGCTGTAATTCAATGTATTTGAATACTTTAAAAATGTTACATTTATAGTTAACAGATACTGACCTATAAATTTTCTGTCATATAATGATGCTGTGAGACAATCAAGAAGAATTAAAATTTAAATTCATGTATTCCTACTTTTTTCTCTTCTCTAACTGTAATATATTTTAATTACAGATGGAGGAACAGATAGATGTTAGATAAATAGATATACAATAGATAGATCATCCAAAATTCTTATTCTTGTGGTTTTATGTAGTCAGTATTTACCTCTATTTTTCTACATGTTTATCCTTCCAATTTAGTTCATTACTTCCTGCACCTTTGATGTCATATATATAAACAGGAAATAACACATGGTGGCCGGGATGTAGAGAGAGCCACAGGACTTGTGAATAAAATCCACAGACAGGGATGTGTCGATTCCTTTTGCAATATTGGAGGGAATGCCAAACCCTATGTTTGCTGTGGAAAAGAGTATAGTAGTTCCTCAAAACATCAAAATGGTATTGCCTTATGATTCGGCAGCCCCATATCTCAAGATAGCAAAAGAATTGAAAACAGAGTCTTGAAAAAATATTTGCACATCCATGTTTGCAGCAGCATTATTGGCAAGAGCTAAAACGTAGAAGCAATTGAAGTGTCCAACAACAGATGAATGGATAAGCAAAACATGATATATACATACAATGGAAAATTATTCAGCCTTAAACATGAGGGAAATATTCTGACATATGTTGCAACTTGGATGAAACTTGAGGATATTATGCCAAGTGAAATAAGTTAGTCAGTGAAGGACAAATACAGTATAATTCCATTTGTATAAGAGACTTAAAAGGGACAGAATCACAGAGATACTACAATGATGATTGCCAGAAGCTGGGGAGAGGAAGACATGGGGAAGTACTGTTTAATGGGTATAGAGTTTCAGTTTCACAAGTTGAAACGAGTTATGGAGATGGATGGTAGTGATGGCTGCACAATGTTATGACTCTATTTAGTACCACTGAACTGTACACTTAAAATGGTTAACAGAGTACATTTTATGTTATGTGTATTTTACCACAATAAAAAAATAAAATACCTTAGGAACATTTTCCTGAAAGAGTCCACATAAAATTCATTTTAATGCATGTGTTTATGCATAGCTTTCTATTTTTCTCTTTCCTATTTATATTCCAAATTAGAATATAATGCTAATCAAGCATAGTGGCTGTGTTTCTTGCTTCCTCTAGTCTGCAGGTAGCATACAAATGTAGTAAACTACTCATTAATGTCACATCTATTTATTTTCTGCCTTATACCAAGATTGTGGGATTCTCTTAAATACAACATTTTATACTTACACCTATGCAATACCCATTAGCATCGCCTTCCTAAATCAGGGGAAATTGAGTCTCTGTAAGGTGCAGTAACTTACTAAGATACAAAACTCAGCATTAAAGTCTGTATAATTCAATATCCTGCACTCTTCTCATTTGTCTTTACTGCCTTTTATGTATGTGTTAGATGTTCAATAAATTCTCTTTTTTAAACTGAATTTAAGCAGTGGAGCAGTGTTTTGTTGAACAATAAATATGATATTGGACACTCTTCCTCCCTTTCATTTATGATGCAGTTCATGAAAAAGAGAAATTCTTTCATTGTGCTAGAAGCTTAAAATAATGAAAATGCCACTTTCTACATAAAACAGAAACTGAAGGGAATCAAGATGAATTGGATGAGACATAGAAAACAAGTGGGAAATAAATCTAGTATAATTTCCCCTTTGTGTACCTTTGTTATTTAGCATTTGAGAAAATGTTTCCCCCAAATATCTTCCCATCTTAATTCATGTCTATAAAGTAGACATTTATGTCTCACCTTGTCAAGAACGGCAAACTCTAACATAAACATTTCCCAAAAATGCTTCCTGCTAAAACATAAGCTCCGTCTGGCTAGAAATTAAGATCACTTCATAAAAATTAGTTGGTAGCTAATCTTTGCATGCTGTTCTCTGAAATTGAGTGAAAGTGGTCCATCAGGCATACAGGGAATGACGGAAAAGGTGACAACAGAACATGAATGCTATGTCACTAACCTTCAAAGATGACCTGCCTTTTCTTTCAAATTCTTGATATCTTAAGACTTCATTAATTCATCTCTCTTTGCCCTTGGTTCAACATTGTGCTATACCAAAACTCATGTAAAACAATGATCTATTGTAATAAAAATGGCATTTTTCTTTCATGTAGATGCAAGCTATCTGGCATTTTTACAATCAACATACTTCCGTTGTCAATTTTTCATTCTGTATTGGAACTAATTGATAGGTATTTTTGAAGGGATGAAGGTGTTTCTGTGTTCATTGTGATCCAAAAGTTTTTTAGACCTAGTGGTGTTTGTAAAACAATTTGTGCCAGCTGACCAAGGATCACTGTGGCAGAAAGCAGCAAACTTGCATAAGATGTTGCTGCCTCATCAGTTGGCTTTGAAAACTAGGGGCTTATTCTATAGTCTTATGAATCAAAGACATTGATAGATGTAGTATAAGATTACAATCATATTTTCCTTTTGACAGTCACATTATAAAGCATGATGTATTGCAATTAATCTCAATTAGCTGATGACAATTAAAATTAATAGTTTATTATTGCTGATAAACAATCATGACTCTCCTGTTCTCAAATGTGCAAGGAATCTTGTAATTTTAATACAAATTTGCATATAATTACTAATTGATTTAATCTCATTGGATTTGGTTCATGGATCCAATTTCTTAAAATATTGATAATGGGATAATGATTTGTCTCCCCATTTCATTTACACTAAAAGACAATTCTTACAATGATCTGCAAGCCCATCGTGATCTGCCGCATGTTAACCACCAAAATTCTTTTATGTCTTCACCCTTGATCTTACCAGTGGTCCTGGCCACCTCACTGTCCTCTGGACATGCCAACATGCTGCTGTCTTATGACCAAGACTCTAGTTAATTTCTTGGCTTTGAAAGATAACCTTCCATATATGCATTGATCAGCTCATTCAACTTCCTCAAGTCTTTACTGAAACCTCACATTCTCGATGAGACCTATTCAGTATTTCAAACTGCCTCCCAGCTGCAACAGTCCAAAACCCCTTAGTCTTCTGTGTATTTTTGAAAGGATTTATTGAAATATAATTTACATACTATAGAGTGCACATATTAATGTCTACAAGTCAATGGCTTTTAGTATATACACAGATAAGTGGAGCCATCATCACAATGAATTTTAGAACATTTTCATCACTTCAAAAAGAAACCCCACCTTCTCTAGCTGTTAACCTCCTATGCACTCATCCCCTACTCAATCCTAAGCAACCACAAATCTGTTTTCTGTCTCTGTAGATCTTCCTATTCTATTTTCATCTAAATAGAATCATACAATAGGTGGCCTTTTTTGCCTGGCTTCTTTCAGTTGGCATAATGCTATCAAGGTTCATATGCATATTGGTACTTTATTTATTTTTATAACTGTATAACAGTCAATTTCATGGATATAACATTTTGTTTATCCAATAATATTTTTATTGACATTTGAGTAGTGTTCAGCCTTTGGCTATTTTAAATACTGCTGTTAAAATACTTGTGTACAATTTGTGTTTGAACACCTCTTTCCAATACTCTGGGGGTATTCCTAGGAATACATTTCTGGGTCATATGACAATTCTATGTTTCATATATTTAGAAGCCATCAACCTATTTTCCAAAGTGGCCAGTTCTAGCCATAGAGTATCTAACTGTGGTTTTGATTTGTAGTTGCCTGATGAGTGATGCTGTTGAGTATCTTTTTATGGGATTATTGACCGTTCGTGTATCCTCTTGGGATACACATCTATTCCTATCATTTATCAGTTTTGAGTTGGGATTTTTGTTACTGAGTTAAAACAATTTTTCTATATTCAAAATACATATATATGCAGACATATAGATATGTGTTTCTCAAATATTTTCTCACAATTTTTGAGCTGCCTTTTGACTTGCTTGGTTGTCCTTTGAAACACCAATGTCTTTAATTTTTAAGAAATTTTAAATATCTAATTTTTATGTTGTTGCTCATGTTTTTGGTGTTACAGCTATTTCTTTGCTAGATCCAAAATCCTGAAGATTTTCGCATATGCTTTATTCTAGCTCTTGCATGTTTGTCTTTAATTGATTTGAGTTAATATTTTTGTATGCTTTGGGGTAAGGGTTCCAATTTACTATTTTGCAAGTGGCGATCCACGTGTACGTTGTTGACCCAGTTTGTTCAAAGACTGTCTCTTCCTTATTGAATTGCACATGGCACCACTGTAAGTATCCATTGACTATAGATACATAGTTTTCTATATGGACTCTCAATTCTCTTCCATCAATCTATATATTTTTCCTTCATCAGTATTGTGTTGTCTTGATTACTGAGGCTTTGCCGTAAGGTTTCGAGCACGGGGGTGTGAATTATCCTAATATGTTTTCTTTTATCAAGACTATTTTGGCTATTTTGAGTCCCTTACAATCCCATGTGTATTTTAGAATCAGTTTGTCCGTTTCTAGACAGAAGTTTGTTGGGATACTTGCAGGGATTACTTCAAATCTGTAGTTCAACTTGTAAAGTACTACAATATTAAATCTTCCAGTTCATGGGTGGAAGATGTTTGCTAATTATTTAGATATTCTTTAAACAATAATTTTTAATTTTCAGAGTAAAATCTTGTATCACAATTTCCAAATTAATTATTATTTCTTTTTTTGATGCTATTTTAAATTGAAGTGTTTTCTTAATTTCATTTTGGGGTTTTCATTGCAGATGTGTGCAATTGATTTTTGTACATTTATCTTGTATGCTGTAATATTGCTGAAATAATTTACTAGTTCTATCGCTCAATGGATTCGTTAAAATTTTCTATATACAAGAATGTTATTTTCAAATCAAGTTTTATTTCTTCCTGTTCAATATGGGTGACTCTTTTTTTTTAGTTGCCGATTTGCCCTGCATAAAATCTTTAGTACAGTGTTGACTAGAAGAGGTCAAATTATATATCCTATTCTTATCTCTGACCATAGCGGGAAAGCATCCTTTACCATTAAGTTGCATGCTTTTTGTTGGCTTTTCGCAGGTGCCATGTATCTGGTGTAGAAAGTTCTCTATTCCTGGCTCATTGAGTTTTTATTTTTATTTTTAATCATTAAAGCATTTGGATTTTGTTAAATGTCTTTTCCGAATCTATCGAGATGATCATGCAATTCTCGTTTCTTATTCTATGGATAAGATGTATTACCTTAATGGATTTTGGGCTGTTAAACCAACCTGAGATTACTAGTATAAATTTCACTTTGTTATAGTGTATACTTCTTTTATATGTTGCTAAATCTTATTTGATAGTATTTTTTAAGGAATTTTGCATTTATACTTATAGTAGTTTTATTTTTCTATGCTATTTGGACTAATTTTTGTATCAAGGTAACACTGGCCCCACAGAATAAATTGGGAAGTGAATATTTCTCTTTTTAAAAAAAGTCAGTCAAGAATTAATATCAATTAGTCAATACTAACAAATATGATTAATATTATAAATTATTAATTTCTCTAATTTTTATTTTCTTCCTTCTGCTGGCTTTAGGTTTAGTTTGCTATACTTTCCAGTGCCTTAATGTGGAAGGTCATCTTATCTCCTCCTTTCCTTTGTCTTTTCATTTTCTAAATAGTGTCTTTTTAGCATCAGGTGAGCTCCCCAGGTTGGTAGTACTCCATGTTTATTGCTGTACAACAATGACAGGTAATATGTCCTGAAGACAATGGAAAGTTAACATTCAAAATCCTCCTAGATTCCACCTTATATGATATGTGTCTTCCTTTGATTGGTCGTAATTTCTACCCTTTCTCTATTATAAATCATGAGTACAATGGCATTCAATGAGTTCTGTGAGTCTTTTTAGTAAATTCTTGAAACTGAGAGTGTTCTGGGGAAACCCCTGAACTGGCAGTTGGTGACAAAAGTGTGAATCATCTTATATGGCCTCTTCCTTTGAACTTTGAAGCTGGACCCAAACTCTGCACAATTTGGGCCAGAAGTCTCGTGTGGACTTTGCAGCCTAAATTATCTTGTAGTTTGTCTAACCCTCAATAAATTTGCTTTCATCAAATATTATATTTGTTACCCCAAAATTACTATCATGTTTCTTTTCTCCAAATAACTAACATTGGGAGAAATAGCCAGCTGAATCTGTAACTCAACAGAAACAAGTGATCCATATACCATATAAGTGGCCATTTCATTTTGCCTTCTTCCACCAAATCTTAGCAACCTCAACCATTGCCATGAGCCACTGTAGGCCTACCGTCTACAAACAAACAAGTATCTTTTAAAAACACTTCATACTCCCATTTGATAAATTTCCCAGCAAAGTGATGCCTACTTTAACTCTATGCAAGTGGCTCATATTCGCAAAGTCTGGAGATATTATTCATGCAGTGTGAGAAAATCATCCCAGCGATGCCAGCACATTCTCCTTCCCATGATCTGCTTAGTTTGCAAACATATTCAGGCCGTAGGTGAGAGATTTGTATTTCAGAGTACAACAATTTTATGGAGGTCATTGAAACTTAGATTTAGCATTTTAGCACAGTCACGCATCACTGAATGACAAGGATACGTTCTAACAGATGCATCCATAGGCAATTTCATCATTTTGCAAACGTCAGAGAGAATATTACAAACACCTAGTTTGTACAGCCTACCACGTTTAGGTTATATGGTATAACCTCTCTCTCCTAGGCTACAAACCTGTGTACTACACTACTATACTGAATACTGCAGGCAATAAGAACACAGTGGTAAGAGTTTATGTATGTAAACATACTTAAACATAGAAAAGTATGTAAAATATGTATTATAATCTCATGGGACCACTTTTGTATATGTAATCCACCTTTGACTGAAAGATTATTATGCATGACATGACTCTATGACAAAAATAATACATTTTAAAAAATGTACACATGTATCAAACATATTATTATAAAAATAAAAATATTTATTCAGTGTAAGAATTTGTAATGATCACAGCTTATATTTTAGTACAGTTTCAAATGCCTAGTGTAATTACTATTTATTTTTTTATGTATTTTAAACATGTATATAATAAATATTTTTCAGGTTCAACAATATATACCAATCCTACAGGCTCTTATAAATATTAGTTAAAATCAATTGGTAAATTCATGTATATTTATACATACCTCTATCAGTGAGCGTGTGTGCATGTATGTTTGTTTAAATGTAATTGTATGTGTGTATAAATGTAATTGGATGCATCCTTATATTTACCCTTACCTACAAGATTTCCAAGATTCATTTATGATCTTTAGATGATGGGCATTTAAAGATTTACCAAATACAACTGTAACAGTGGAAAATATCAAGATGTAATTAAATTCATCTTGTGCACATAATTGTTTCTATAAATTTATGTTTCTTGCAAAACTTGCAGTAATGCTCATGCACAAAATAATTTTCTAAATAAAAAATAAAAACGTTTTCTCAGTCATTAATTCTTAAATTTATTTCTCCCCAATAATTAATGTGAATTAATTCTTAATTATAGAATAATGTTGCCCTTCAGAGTTCGGAAATTTTTACATGTTGTACACATTTCACTAACCAGAACAATTTCTGAAATATTGACATTAATTAATGTCACTCAGCAATTATTGATTTCAAAGCCTTTAAATACCATTCATATTCTGAATCACAAGGGTACTTTGGCATCTTATTTAATCAAGCTCTTTGTATCATCATCTACACTTTAATTACTTAACAAGCATTTCTCTGTGTGAGAAAGTTTGAGCAGGTTATTGTGCTTTTTTAAGATGCAACTTTTGCTTAATCTAGAGATAGGCAATGCTCCCTATAAGGGACAAGGAGAAAAATAAATGAGCAATAGAGATGTGACAGGCATGGAAAAAGTTACTACATTTATCAAAAAAATAGGGCCACGGATGACGATAATGGGGATCAAATCTTGAGATACTGACTCAGTTTATAACCGCACTGTATAATAGAGCAAACCATTTGTTAACTTTTTTACAAATGGAATTTAATTTAAGATGAATACAGTGTTTTAAACAAGGCAGGTCATCGTAAAATAAAATAGTGGAATAAAGTGATAAAACCAATGTAAAAATCGTAAACATTTTATAAAGAATTTTTGTCATGTAATTTAATATTTTTGTTCATTTAAAATCACCCAAATCAAAATAATTTTATCTTAATTAACAAATAATCATCAGAAGTTTAACTAATTTTTACTTCATAATACTAGGTTTAAAAATTCTTAACTATATTTTTAATCACATATGCTTCTATATAAAATAGACATAGGATATATAGTTACATGTTCACAATATTATATTGTAATTGCTCCTATGGATGTGGTTTTTCAATAGAATTAATAAGTACTTTTAAAAAGTTTCCACTTCGATGATGTATATGATTGATGTTTCTTAGACAAAGCATACATATATTGATAGGTAATAATATGAAAATCTTCTAAAGGCATTACAGGAACACGAAAATGTAATTAAATACTCACTAATTTGTAATTTTTTATGTAAGCAGAACACATTTAACTGAAAATTGCTTCTATATAATACTCAAACGAGACTAAAAACTTTTTAACCAGCAGAGTAAGTCTTCAAATTGATAATCTGAAGTATATTAGAGGAGAAACTTCAGGCACTCTAATATTTGAAATGCTACAAAATATTTATATAAACTATTATTTCACAACTTCTGTTTGTAGAGTGCTATACAGTAATCAATATAAATGACATCCCAAGTCTTTCTATAGCTTTGACCACATTTACATCCTAATTTTAATTATTAATATGTTGGAGCAGTGCATACAACTAGATTCCAATCTTCCTTTTTAATGAGTAAAAATATGTCCTTTGAGACAGCATTAAAGAAAGAGCACCTTGTATAAATTCAATGCCAAGAGAAAAGATATTCTTGATTCTGAAGTCTTGTTCTTTTATACAGCAATGTAACTAATACGAAGAAAAGCAGGATATAGATGTGGAGCCTATTTTAATAAAAAATTGTCTGTAGATTTTGATGATAAAATTTAAAAATCTACTATATTTAGTTACAAAAAACTAGGTTGTGGGAATATATTTGGTCAATAAAACACCCCTACCAAGTGCTGACAAGAAAAAAAGTTAGGTACCACCTTTCTTCTCTGCAGATGGCCTGAGATGGGTTAACTTGAAAGAATGTTTCCAAACCTGAGGTGACCCCTGAGAACAGCATAATCCACTGCTGTCTCCCACATTCAGTTTCTCAGTTTGTGCTCGTTTAATTTTGCGGGGAGGAGAGCCAGCCCTTTAAACCAATCTTCAGCATGATGGCAGAGCCAAGGAGTGTGGACAGGTGGCACGGTGTCTGACTTTGTTTCAGCAGCCACTTGGGCTTTCTCTGGATCTTCTCTGCCCTAGGGATAGCACCACTATTGAAAACATATCTTTGTGATATACTGTATGCCAGGAACTCCCAACACATTTTCCTTGAAACTGATGAAATGAATAAAAATAAACCAAGAGTTGTGCTGCTTGTTTCTGTTTCCTCCTTTCTGCAGTCCTTCTTGATCATCTAATATTCTTAAATACATTGTCGATCACCAAAAGCAGCATAAGGTGTATACTGATTTGTAGCAGATGTATTAATAGCCCAGCCCCTATTCCTTACCTGTAGCTGCTGGGAAGAAAACCATTCTTAACGCTCTACAGGGTCTCATCTCCAGAATTTGCAGCTGTTTCTAGCTGAGGACTTTCTCTAGAAGCATGGGAGTTTGATACTGGGCATGAAGTGTGAAGAAAAGTTGAGGGTAACTAAGAAGAATCTCCCTGGATTCAGTGATGTAATTCTGAGGAATGTTCCACATAGCTTCCCATAGAATTAAGCCCAGATATCTAACACAGGAACTTGCCTCTTAACACGTGTGGTACTGGCTTTTCTATCTTTCCTCTTTTATTTTGTTCTGTCTTCCTTGTCTCACTTTCACTGTGTCCTCACTCCTGCTTTAAGAATACACAAACAAATACATTCATTTATTTTTTTAGAGTCTCAGAACAGAGTTGATAGTTGAACTTGTAATCTATGATAATCAGCTTGTATGCTCTACTGACAGGAAGATAGTGAACACATAATGTCTAATTAAGATGAAATTAAAAAGTATATTGATTCATGCCCAGAGATTTAAAAATCCTAAGCGGCAGTGTCACAATTTCTTCTTTTTAGTTTACATGGTTTATTAAATGCCTACAATTGTTTTAAAGGAAGCCTTGAATCTAGGAAAAATTGAGACATATGGAATAAATTACTAACCCATTTCTCCTTGAAATCCATTAGATTCTTGATGATTTTTCACATATATTTCTGAATTGAAAAGCTAGTTGTGAATTATTTTTATAAGCATATCCTTATGTAATATTTTGTTTTTAACAGTGAAATGAAGGTTTAAAGATTAAATTATTCTATCCAGAGAATAAAAAGCAATTATTTCACAAGGAGAATATGTGTACGTTGACACGACATTTTAAAGTCTAGATTTTAAAATAGGTCCCATATACTTTTGCATCAATTAGAATATGTTTGTATCAGTCTGTCTACAGTTTTACACCTGTCTAAATGTACTTGAACTACAACAACTACCTTGAACAGTTTTGAAATTTATGATTTCTCTGAAACTGATTAAAAGAATTATGGTAGAGTAAAATTCTGATTGACATAATTTGGGAGAGAAATTATTCCTTGGACATCAACCTCTGCCAAGATATTTTATAATGACATTCAGGCTTTTTGACTTACACAATTTTTTATATAAGAAATACTAAGATGATGGCAGATAATACACAGACTTTAATTGAAATTGTACTACAATTAAAAGTCTAAATAAATTAGAAGTGTACATGGTACATCTAAATGTATGTTTATATATTTAATTTGTGCATTTTTTTCCTAGGGTTTCTTTTGCTTTAGTTTGTAAAACGTTCTCATTTTTGTGATAATGTAGCATATATTACATAAAGAAAAATCAGGAAATAGAAAATGAAGAAGAAAACATTAGCTATTATCAACCAAATAAAAATTGTGCAATCTCTAAGCACATGAACTATGTAATATTTGTACAGCATAGTACAATATTTATGCTTCACAGGGGGAGGTAGAGCCTACAAAACCTTGAACTTGGGACAAATAAGAAAGTAAGGAAATTTTTACAACTTATTAATATTATAGAAAATGCTGAACTTAACAGTTAAGATACAAGTAGTGAAAAATGATAGTATTTAAGGAGATCTAGAAAATTTAATCTATACCTGTAATGTGTGAGAAGTATTAGAATAATGCTTGTATTTCTGGATTGGCATCGATTTCTATTGAGACTGGAAACATAATAGAAGTGAGCAAAAAAGAATTTAAATTGTGGATACTTGAGTTTTATACCTAGGAGTTCGAGAAATACATTTTGTTACTATCAAAGCAGTTGGCCCAAGAGTGTACAAAATTCCCTAATTGTGTCTATGTAGAGAAGACATAGACAACCAGAGAATAGCAAAACAGAAATAGCAAAAAGCACAAATAAATTTTACCTGTATTTTTAAGTAAAACCCAATTAGAGAAGGAAAACATGAAATCTGTGTTTTATCAAAATTTTTCTCTTTCTCATAATATAGTTGAATATATTACTGGAAAAAATTTGAAGCACTGGTATGTTCACGAATAAAAGTAAAATATAAGGTCAAAACCATGGGAATGCAGGGAGCAGACAAAATATAACTAAACACCAAAACTGATTTTGCCCTATGGACATGTAACAAAATGAATGAGTGCAGATTCCTACTGTCATACATCACATAGGACAGTAAAGAAATACATAGTTTTTCCCAAGAAAGGGCATCACACAGGAGCTCCTCCCTAAAGCTAGGACCAAAATTTGTATCCTCAGTATAAAGAAGAATCAGAGATAAATTAGTCCCATTTCACATTCCCTGGAAATGGCAAATAAAAATGACTTGAGATTGGACAGATTTAAAGAAACACAATTGTTAATGATTTACAGCAACTAATTTAAAAATTGTTTAAATGTGCAGTCCAAACATATGTCTGAACACCTTCAGGCCAAGAATTAACATAATGTGGTCCCAGAATGGTGTTGGCTTTAGTAGAATCACAAAAAAATTCAAATTCTCTTTGGCAAATTTTCTATTTACTAATCCACAAAAGTGCACAAAAATAATTTTCAGAGAAAAATAAATATTTGTCATTCAAAGGCATCTAAGTATGCAAGGAAATGATATTCCACCATTTGAAAGAAAGCAGAAAATCAGTACAAACAGATCCACAAAGTTTCATTAGTAGAAATATCACTGTTAGATTATAAAGCACATTTGCTTTCAAAAAATTTTTTAAAAAAATGAATATATTGTTAGGAGACTAAAAAATTCATGTAGCAAATTTGGAATGTAATTTGTATAAAAATATAGTTATTTTAAATTAAAAACTCAAAAATGAACTCATCAGATTAGACATGGCCAAGGTGAGAGTTCATAAATATTTCAGAATGCATTACAGAAAATTTTAAAAAATGTAAAATGTGGACAGAATGATGAAGAGACATGGAAGATACAGTGAGAAAGTGTAGCATGTGTTTAGAGAGTGTTCTCATAGAGGAAGGGAACTCAGAAGGGACTATATATGATGGTATTTTGGCTGAAAGTTCCCTAGACTTTTGTAAGACACTAATCTGCATATTCAAAAATTCCGTGCATGGTAAGCAAGCTACAATGGAGATAAACCTACACCTATGTATCTCCTAGAGAAATAGTAAACAACGAGGAAGGGAAAAATATTTCAATTAGCACTAGAAAAATGAAATTACTTTTAATCATATTGAAATCTGAAAAAAATGAAAGGTAAAATAAACAATATTATTTGTTATGAATAATAAAGCCATTCTGAATTTCTAAACGAAGAAAAATATTCATCAACCTATGGCTAAATAACATATTTTGAGATAAAAAACAAAACGCCACCAGCAGAATTCCACTAAAGAAACTACAGAGAAACTCTGAAAATATGCTTCAGAAAGATTGAAGTTCTGAAATCCAAGAATGAACAGAGAGTAAAATATATTGCAAAGATATAGACAGAACAAATATGAAACTGGGTTTTGAAACAAAAATATATTTAAAATTAGATAAGCACAGCAATATGTATGATAAAAAGAAAATTATTAAGGCTGAAGTATTCAAAGAACCCTTAACTGTCTGACAAGAGCAGAAAAGTATGACTTTGTGACTCTTTTTCTTTTTCGAATGGGATGGAATGGAATGGAATGGAATGGAATGGAATGGAATGGAATCGAATGGAATTGAATGGAGAGGAATGGAATGGAATGGGAGATGAGATTGTGCCATTGTGCTACAGGATGGGTGACACAGAGAGACACTCTTGAAAGAAAGGAATGGAACGGAAAGCAGTGGAATAGAATGGAATGGAATGCAATGGTGTGGAGTGGAGTGCAGTGGAGAGGAGAGGAGTGGAATGGAGTGGAATGGAATCGGATGTATTGGAATGTAGTGGAATGGAATGGAATCATCATCGAATGGAATAGAATGGAAGTATCATCTAATGAAATCAAACGGAATCATCATCGAATGGAAACGAATGGAGTCATCATCGAATGGAATCAAATGGAGTCATCATGGAATGGAATCAAAAGGCATCATCATCCAATGGACTTGAATGGAATCATCATCGAATGGACTCGAAAGGAATCATCATCGAATGGAATCAAATGGAATCATCGTTGAATGGAAGCGAATGGAATCATCATCGAATGGAATCGAATGGAATCGAATTGAATCATCATTGAATGGAAATGAATGGAATCATCATCGAATAGAACTGAAAGGAGTAATCGAATGGACCTGAATGGAGTCATCATCGATTGGAATCAAATGGAGTCATCAAATGGAATCGAAAGGAATCATCACCAAATGTAATCAACTGGAAACACAGAATGGAATTGAATGGAATCATCATCAAAAATAATCGAATAGAATAATCGAATGGAATCAAATGCAATCAACATCGAATGGAATCGAGTAGAATCATAGAATGACATCAAATGGAATCATCATCAAATGGAATCAAAAGGAATCATCATTGAATGGAATCAAAAGCTGTCACTGAATGGACTTGAATAGAATCATCAAATGGATTTGAAGGGAATCCTCATCGAATGGAATAGAATGGAACCATCGAATGGACTCGAATGGAATCATCATCGAATGGAATCAAACGGAAACATCACATGGACTCGAATGAAATCAACATCAAATGGGATCAACATCCAATGTTATCGAATGGAATCATCGAATGGACACGAAAGGAATGAACAAATGGACTCGAATGGAAACATCAAATAGAATCGAATGTAATCTTTGAAAGGAATCGAAAGGAATTATAGAATGGACTCGAATGGAATCATCGAATGGACACGAATGGAATTATCATCAAATGGAATTGAATGGATTCATCAAATGGACTCGAATGGAATCATTGAATGGAATCGAATGGAATCATCGAATGGACTCAAATGGAATCATCATCGAATGGAATTGAATGGAATCATCGAATGGAATCAAACCGAATCCTCATCAAATGGAATCGAATGGAATCATCGAATGGAATTGAAGGCAATCATCATCGAATGGAATCAAATAGAATCATCATCGAATAGAATCAAATGGAATCATCGAATGGAATTGAATGGAATCATCATCAAAGGGAATCGAGCGGAATCATCGAATGGAATCAAATGGAATCATTGTCGAATGGAATGGAATGGAATCATTGAATGGAATTTAATGGGATCGCCAATAAACAGAATCAAATGGAATCATCTTCTAATGGAATCGAAAGGAATCATCGAATGGACTCGAATGGAATCATCATCGAATGGAATCGTGTGGAATCATTGAATGAACTGGAAATGAATCATAATCAAATGGAATCAAAAGGAATCATCATCGAAAGGAATCACATGGAATCATCATCGAATGGAATCATATGGAAACATCACAGAACAGAATTGAATGGAATCATCAATTCGACTCGAATGGAATCATCAAATGGACTCAAAGGGAATCATTATTGAATGGAATTGAATAAAGTCATCGGATGGACTCGAATGGAATTATCATTGAATGGAATTGATTGGAAACATCGAATGCACTCGAATGGAATAATCATCTAATGGAATTGAATGGAATCATTGAATGGACACGAATGGAATCATCATCAAATGGAATCCATTGGAATCATCGAATGGAATTGAATGGAATTATCGAATGGAATCAAATGGAATCATCTTTGAATGGAATCGAATGGAACCATCGAACAGAATCGAATGCAATCATCATTGAATGGAATTGAAAGGAATCATTGAATGGAATCCAATGAAATCACCATTGAATGCACTCGCATGGAATCATCATCAAATAGAATCAAAAGGAATCATCGAATGGACTCGAATGGAATCATCATTGAATGGGAATGGAATCGAATGGAATCATCAAATGGAATCAAATGGAATCATCATCAAATGTAATCAAATGGAATCATCGAATGGAATCGAATGGAATCATAATTGAATGGATTCAAATAGAATAATCGAATTAAATAGAATGGAATCAACATCAAATGGAATTGAAAGGAATCATAGAATGGTATCAAATGGAATCATCATCGAATGGAATGGAATAGAATCATCATCCAATGGAATCAAAAGTAATCATTCAATGGACTCTAGTAGAATCATCGAATGGACTTGAATGGAATCATCATCGAATGGAGTAGAATGGAATCATCGAATGGACCCGAATGGAATCATGATTGAACGGAATCGAATGGAATCATCTAATGGACCCGAATGGAATCATCATGGAATGAAATAGAATGGATTCATCATCAAATGGAATGGAATGGAATCATGTAATGGACACGAATAAAATCATCATCGAATGGAATTGAATGGAATCATCTATTGTACCCAAATGGAATCATCATTGAATGGAATAGAATGGAATCATCAAATGGAATCGAATGGAATATACATCATATGGAATCAAGTGCAATCATCGCATGGACTCGAATGTAATAATCAGAGAATGGAATCGAATGGAATCATTGAATGGACTCGAATGGAATCATCATCAAATGGAATCAAATGGATTCATCTAATGGACCCAAATGGAATCATCATCGAATGGAATCAAATGGAATCATCGAATGGACTCAAATGGAATCATCATCGAATGGAATCGAACGGAATCATCGAATGGACTCGAATGGAATCATCATCGAATGGAATGAAATGGAATCATCAAATGGATTAGAATGGAATCATCATTGAATGAAATCGAATGGAATCATCGAATGGCATCAAATGGAATCATCATTGAATGAAATCGAATGGAATCTTCAAATGGACTCGATTGGAATCATCACCGAATGCAATCGAATCGAAATATAATCAAATGGAATCGAATGGAATCATCATCTAATGGAATCGAATTGAATCATCAACCAATGGAGTCCAATGGAATCATCATCAAATGGAATCGAATGGAATCATGTAATGGACACGAATAGAATCATCATCGAATGGAATCAAATGGAATCATCTATTGTACACGAATGGAATCATCATTGAATGGAATTGAAAGGAATCATCAAATGGAATCGAATGGAATCTTCATCATATGGAATCGAGTGCAATCAAAGAATGGACTTGAATGTAATAATCGGAGAATGGAATCGAATGGAATCATCGAATGGACTCGAATGGAATCATCATCGAATAGAATCAAATAGATTGATCTAATGGACACAAATGGAATCATCATCGAATGGAATCGAATGGAATCATCGAATGGACTCAAATGGAATCATCATCAAATGGAATCGAATGGAATCATCAAATGGACTCTAATGGAATCATGATCGAATGGAATGGAATGGAATCATCAAATGGATTAGAATGGAATCATCATTGAATGAAATCGAATGGAATCATTGAATGGCATCAAATGGAATCATCATTGAATGGAATCGAATGGAATGATCTAATGGACTTGAATGTAATCGTCGTTGAATTGAATCAAATGGAAACATCGAATGGACATGAATGGAATCATCATCGAATGGATTCAAATGGAATCATCATCAAATGTAATCGAATAGAATCATCATCGAATGGAATCGAATGGAATCATCGAATGGAATAGAATGGATTCATCTTCGAATGGAATCAAATAGAATCATCGAATGCAATCAAATGGCATCATCATTGAATGGAAACGATTGGAATCATCATCGAATGGAAGTGAATAGAATCATCATCGAATGTTATTGAAAAGAATCATCATCGAATGGAATGGAATGGAATCATCGAATGGACACCAATGGAACCATCATTGAATGGAATCTAATGGAAACTTCGAATGGACTCAAATGGAATCATCATTGATTGCAATTGAATGGAATCATCATCAAATGGAATAGAAAGGAATCATCATGAAATTGAATTGAATGGAATCTTCGAATGCAATAGAATTGAATCATCATCGAATGGAATCAAATAGAATCATCGAATGAAATGGAATGGAATCATCATTGAATGGAATCGAATGAAATCATTATCAAATGGAATCAAACGGAATCATCATCAAATGGAGCCGAATAGAATCATTAACGAATGAAATCAAAAGGAATCATCACTGAAAGGAATTCAATGGAATCATCAACGAACGGAAACAAATGGAATCATTGAATGGAATAAAATGTAATCATCATCGAATTGAACCCAATGGAATCATTAAATGGACTCGAATGGAATCATTGATTCGACTCAAATGGAATCACCATCGAATGGAATAGAATGGAATCATCGAATGGAATTGAATAGAATCATCATCGAATGAAATCAAATGGAATCATCGTATGGACACGAATGAAATCATCATCGAATGGAATTGAATGGAATCATCGAATGGACTCGAATGGAATCATCATCGAATGGAAACAAACAGAATCATCATCAAATGGAATTGAACAGAATCATCATCAAATGGAATCAAATGGAGTCATCGAATGGAATAGAAGGGAATCATCATCGAATGGAATCAAATAGAATCATCTAATGAAATCAAATGGAATCATCATCGAATGGAATCAAATAGAATCATCATCGAATGAAATTGAATGGAATCATCATTGAGTGGAATTGAATGGAATTGTCAACAAACATAATCGAATGGAATCATCGAATGGAACCAAATGGAAACATCATCAAATGGAACCGAATGAATCATCATCAAATGGAACCCAGCGAAGTCATCATCGAATGGAATTGAATGGAATCATAATCGAATCAAATCAAATGGAATCATAATTGAATGGAATCGAATGGAATCACCGAATTGAATAGAATGGAATGATAATTGAATGGAATCAAAGAGAATCATCAAATGAGATCGAACAGAATCATCGAAGGGAGTCGAAAGGAATCATCAAATGGATTTGAATGGAGTAATCATTGAAAGGAATTAATGGGATCATCGAATGGACTCGAATGGAATCATCATCAAATGGAATCCAATGGAATCACTGAATTGAATCAAATGGAATGATCATCGAATGGAATCAAAGGGAATCATGCAAAGGGATTGAATGGAGTCATCGAATGGAATCAAGGGGAATCCTCGAATGGCCTCGAATGGAATCATCATCAAATGGAATCGAGTGGAATCATCGAAGGGATTTGAATGGAATCATCATCAAATGGAATTAAATGGAATCATAGAATAGACACGAATGGAATCATCATTGAAACATTTAATGGCATCAAATGGAATCATCATCAAATGGAATCTAATGGAATAATCGAATGGACTCGAATGGAATCATCGAAAGGAATCGAGCAGAATCATTATCGAATGGAATCAAATGGAATCATTGAATGGACTCGAATGGAATCATCATTGAATGAAATCAAAAGGAATCATAGAATGGCATCAAATGGAATCATCATCGAATGGAATCGAATGGAATGATCTAATGGACACGAATGGAATCGTCGTTGAATGGAATCAAATGGAAACATCGAATGGACACGAATGGAATCATCATCGAATGTAAACGAATGGAATCATCATCAAATGTAATCGAATAGAATCATCATTGAATGGAATCGAATGGAATCATCGAATGGAATAGAATGGACTCATCTTCGAATGGAATCAAATAGAATGATCGAATGTAATCAAACGGAATAATCATTAAATGGAAACGAATGGAATCATCCTCGAATGGAATTGAATAGAATCATCATCGAATGGAATGGAATGGAATCATCGAATGGACACCAATGGAACCATCATCGAATGGAATAGAACTTAATATTCGAATGGACACAAATGGAATCATCATCGATTGCAATCGAATGGAATCATCATCGAATGGAATCGAATGGAATCAACCTCGAATGGAATTGAATGGAATACTCGAATGCAATAGAATCAAATTATCACCGAATGGAATCGAATAGAATAATTGAATGAAATGGAATTGAATCATCATTGAATGGAATCGAATGAAGTCATCATCAAATGGAATCGAATGGAATCATCATCGAATGGAAATGAATGGAATCATCAACGAATGAAATCTAATGGAATCATCAATGAATGGAAACAAATGGAATCATCTAATGGAATAAAATGTAATCATCATCGAATTGAACCCAATGGAATCATTAAATGGACTCGAATGGAATCATCGATTTGACTCAAATAAAATCATCATCGAATGGAATAGAATGGAATCATCAAATGTAGTTGAATAGAATCATCATCGATTGAAATAAAATGGAATCATCGAATGGACTCAAATGGAATCATCATCAAATGGAATTGAATGGAATCATCGAATGGACTCAAATGGAATCATCATTGAATGGAATTGAATAGAATCATCATCAAATGGAATGGAATAGAATCATCATCACATGGAATCGAATGGATTCGTCGAATGGAATAGAAGGGAATCATCATAGAATGGAATCAAATAGAATCATCGAATGAAATCAAATGGAATCATCATTGAATGGAATCGAATGGAATCATCATCAAATGGAATCAAATGGAATCATCATCGAATGGAATCAAATGGAATCATCAATGAATGGAATCGAATGGAGTCACCAAATGGAGTCTTTTGGAATCATCATCGAATGGAACTGAATGCAGTCATCATAGAATGAAATCGAATGGAATCACAGACTGGACACGAATGGAATCATCTTTAAATAGAATAGAATGGAATCATCAAACGGACTCGAATGGAATATCATCGAACGGAATCAAAAGCATCATCGAATGGACTCAAATAGAATTATGGAATGGACTCGAATGGAATAATTGAATGGAATCATCACCAAATGGACTAAAATGGAATGATCAAATAGACTCAAAATGAATGATCAAATGGACTCTAATGGAATCATGGATTGGACCCAAATAGAATTATTGAATGGGCTGGAATGGAATCATCGAATGGACTCGAATGGAATCATTTTTGAATGGAATCAAATGGAATCATCAAATGGTATCAAATGGAATCATCGAATGGAATTGATCAGAGTCATCATCAAATGGAATCAAATGTAACCATTGAATGGAATCAAATGCAGTCATTACCAAATAACCTCAAATGTAATCATCATTGAATGGAATCAAATGGAATCATCAAATGGCATCGAATGGAATCATCATCAAATGGAATCTAATGAAATAATTGAATGGACTCGAATGGAATCATTGAATGGAGTCAAATGGAATCATCATCGAATGAAAACGAATGGAATCATTGAATAGCATCGAATGGAATCATCATCGAATGGAATTGAAAGGAATCATCAAATGGACTTGAATGAAATCATTGAATGGATTCGAATGGAATCATCATCAAATGGAATCAAATGGAATAATAGAATCGACACAAATGGTATCATCGTCAAATGGAATCAAATGGAATCAATGAAAGGAATCGAATGGAATAATCATTGAATGTTATCAAATGGGATCATCATTGAATGGAATTGAAAGTAATCATCTAATGGAAACGAATGCAATCATCAACGAATGAAATCAAATGGAGAAATCGAATGGACTCGAAAGGAATCATTGATTGGCCTCAAATGGAATTGTCGAATGGGCTCAAATGGAATCATCGAATGGACACGAATGGAATCAATATCGAATGGAGTAAAATGGAATCATCGAATGGAATCGAATGGAATCATTGTCTAATGGAATTCAATGGAATCATCATCGAATGGAATCGATTGGAATCATTTTCGAATAGAATTGAATGGAATCATCGAATGGAATCAAATGGAATCATCGAATGGAATCGAATATAATCATCATAGAATTGATTCGAATGGAATCATTGAATATACTCGAATGGAATAATCATTGAATGGAAAAGAATGGAATCATCAAGTGGACAAGAACTGAATCATCATTGAATGGAATGGAATGGAATCATCAAACTGAATCGAATGGAATCATCATCAAAAGGAATTAAATGGAATCATCAAATGGAATCGAATGGAATCATCAATGAATGGAATGGAATGGTATCATGGAATGGAACTGAATGGAATCATCTTTGAGTGGAATCTAAAGGAATCACTGAATGGACTCCAATCATCGGATGAAATCGATTGGAATCATCAAATTTAGTCGAATGGAATCATCATCGAATGGACTCGAATGCAATCATCATCAAGTGGAATCGAATAGAATCATTGAATGGAATCGAAAGGAATCATTGAATGGACTCGAATGGAATAATCATTGAATGGAATCGAAAGGAATCATCATGGAATGGAATCGAATGGAATAATCATCGAATGGAATCGAATGGAATCATCATGGAATGGAATGGAAAGGAATTGTCGAATGGACTCGAATGGAATCATGCTCGAAAGGGATCGAATGGAATCATCAAATGGACTCAAATGGAATCATCACCAAATGAAATCGTATGGAATCATCTAATGCAACTGAATGGAATCATTGAATGGACTCGAATGGAATTGATTGGAATCATTGAAGGCACTCAAAAGGAATCATTGAATGGACTTGAAAGGAATCATCATCAAGTGGAATCGAATGGAATCATTGAATGGACTCGAATTGAATCTTTGAATGGACTCGAATGGAATCATCATTGAATCGAACCTAATGCAATCATCGAATGGCCTCGAATGGAGTCCTCATCGAATGGAATAGAAAGGAGTCACCAAATGGACTCCAATGGAATCATCGACTGGCCTCGAATTGAATCATCATCGAATGCAATCGAATGGAATCATTGAATGGACTCGAATTGAATCATCGAATGAACTCAAAAGGAATCGTCACCGAGTGGAATCAAGTGAAATCATCAAATGGACTCGAATGCAATCATCGAATGGCCTCGAATGGAATCATCATTGAATAGAATTGAATGGAATCATTGAAAGGAATCGAATGGAATCATCATCATATGGAATTAAAAGGAATAATCGAATGGACTCGAATGGAATCATCGAATGGCCTCAAATGGAATAATCATCAAACCGAAACGAATGGAATCATTGATTGGACCCGAATGGAATCATCATCTAATGGAATTGAATGTAATAATCGAAAGGAGTCGAATGGAATCGTCATCAAATGGAATCGAATGGAATCATTGAATGGAATCTAATGGAATTATCATTGAATGGAATCGCATGAAGTCATCGAATGGCATCAAACGGAATCATCATTGATAAGAATCAAATGGAATCACCTAATGGACAAGAATGGAATAACTATCAAATGTAATCAAATGGAGTCATCAAATACAATCGAATGGAATCATCATAGAATGGAATAGAATGTAATCATAATCAAATGGAATCGAAAGGAATCATTGAATGCACTCGAAAGGAAACACCGAATGGATTCAAAAGGAATCATCATCATGTGGAATCGAGTGGAATCATCGAATGGACTCGAATTGAATCTTTGAATGAACTCAAATGGAATCATCATCGAGTGGAATCTAATGGAATCATTGAATGGACTCGAATGGAGTCCTCATCGAATGGAATCGAATGGAATCATCGAATGGACACAAATCGAATCATCAAATGGACTCAAAAGGAATCATCATCGAGTGGAATCGAATGAAATCATCAAACGGACTCGAATGCAATCATTGAATGGCCTCGAATGGAATCATTATCAAATAGAATCAAATGAAATCATCAAATGGACATGAATGGAATCATCATCGAATGGAATTGAGTGGAATCATTGAATGGAATCGAATGGAATCATCATCAAATGGAATCAAAAGGAATAATCGAATGGACTTGAATGGAATCATCGAATGGACTCAAATGGAATCATCTTCGAACCGAATTGAATGGAATCATTAAATGGACCCGAATGGAATCACCATCGAATGGAATTGAATGGAATCATTGTATGGGCTCGAATGGAATCATCATCAAATGGAATCGAAAGGATTCACGGAATGGAATCGAAAGGAATCATCATCGAATGGAATGGCATGGAATCATTGAATGGCATCAAACATAATCATCACTGAAAAGAATCGAATGGAATCATCCAATGGACACGAATGGAATCATTATCAAAAGGAATTAAATGGAGACATCGAGTGGAATCGAATGCAATCGTCACGGAATGGAATCGAATGGAATCATCATCGAATGGAATCGAATGGAAACATCGAATGGAATTGAATTGAACCATCGAATGGGATCGAATGGAATCATCATCAAATGGAGTCGAATGGAATCATCATCTAATGGAGTCGAATGGAATCATCATGGAATGGAATCGAATGGAATCATCTTTGAATGGAGTTGAATGGAACCATCATCACAGTGAATCTAATCGAATCATCAATGAAGGGAATTGAATGGAATCATCATCGAATGGAATCTAATGGAATCACCATCGAATGGAATGTTATGGAATCATAAATGGACTCGAATGGAATCATTGATTGGAATCGAATGGAAGCATCATCGAATGAAATAAAATGGAATAATAGAATGGACTCGAATAGAATGATCATTGAATGGAATCGAATGAAATCATGGAACACACTCAAATGTAATCATCGAATGGACTCAAATGGAATCAATGTCGAGTGGAATCAAAAGGAAACATCGAATGGACTTGAATGGAATCATCGAATGGACTCGAATGGAATCATCATTGAATGGAATCGAATGGAATCATCAAATGGACACGAATGGAATCATCGTCGAATGGAATCAAGTGGAAGCATCGAATGGAATTGAATGGAATCATCATTGGATGGAATCGAATGGAATCATCAATGAATGTAATCGAATGGAGTCATCGAATGGAGTCCGTTCGAATCATTATCGAATGGAACCGAATGCAGTCATCATCGAATGGAATCAGATGGAATTATTGAATGGACTCGAATGGAATCATCATCAAATGGAATCGAAATGAATCATCGAATAGACAAGAAAACAATCAACGAATGGACTCGAATGGAATTGTCATCGAATGGAATAAAAATGAAACATCGAGTGGAATCAAAAGAATTATCAGCGAGTGGAATCGAATAGAATCATCGAACGGACACGAATGGAATCATCATCAAATGGAATCGAATGGAAACATCTAATGGCATCGCATAGAAGCATCATCGAATGGAATCGAATGGACTCCTTGAATGGCCTTGAATGGAATCATCATCTTTGGAATTGAATGAAATCATTGAATGGAATTGAAAGGAATGATCATTGAATGATATCAAGTGGAATCCTCGAATGTAATCAAATGGAATCATCAAATGGAATTGAAAAGAATCATCATCGAATGGAATCAAAAGGAATCATCAAATGGAATCGAAGGAAATCATCGTCAAATGGAATCAAAGGGAATCATCGAATGAAATCGAAGGGAATCATTGTCAAGTGGAATCGAGTGGAATCATCGAATGGAATCAAACGGAATCATTGTCGAATGGCATGGAATGGAATCAATGAATGGAATTGAATGGAATCAACAAGGAATTGAAAGGAATAGAATCATCATCGAATGGAATCAAGTGGAATCATCGAATGCACTCGAAAGGAATCATTATCAAATGGAATCATGTGAAATCATCTAATGAGCACGAATAGAATCATCATCGAATGGAATCGAATGGAACCGTCCAATGTACTCGAATTGAATCGTCCTTGAATGGAATAGAATGGAATCATCGAATGGAATTGAATGGAATCAACATCATATGGAATGGAGTGGAATCATCGAATGGACTTGAATGTAATCATTGGAGAATGGAAGCAAACGGAATCATCAAATGGACTCGAATGGAATCATCAACGAATGAAATCGAATGTAATCATCAAATGGACTCGAATGGAATAATCATCAAATATCAAAAGCAATCATCAAATGGATTCGAATAGAACGATCGAATGGATTCGAATGGAATCATCACAGAATGGAATCATATGGAATCATCGAATGGACTCAAATGAAATCATCATCGAATGGAATTGAATGGAATCATCGAATGGAATTGAATGGAATAATCATCGAATGGAATCAAATGGAATCACTGAATGGACTCGAATGGAATCATCATCAAATGCAATCAAACGGAATCCTCTAATGCACTCAAAAGGAATCATCATCGAATGAAATCGAATGGAATCACTGAATGGACACGAACGGAATCATCATTGAATGGAATCAAATGGAATCATAAAATGGAATCGAAGGCAATCATCATCAAACGGAATCATAGGGAATCATAGAATGGAATTGAAGGCAATCATTGTCAAGTGGAATCGAGTGGAATCATCGAATGGAATCGAATGGAATCATTGTCGAATGGCATAGAATTTCATCAATGAATGTAATTGAATGGAATCACCAATGAATTGAATGAAATGGAATCATCATTGAATGGAATCAAATGGAATGAACGAATGCCCTTGAATGGAATCATTATCAAAGGGAATCATGTGAAATCATCTAATGGGCACGAATAGAATCATAATCGAATGGAATTGAATGGAATCATCTAATGTACTCGAATGGAATCGTCATTGAATGGAATAGAATGGAATCATCGAATGGAATTGAAAAGAATATACATCATATTGAATCGAGTGGAATCATCGAATGGACTCCAATGTAATCATCGGATAATGGAAGCAATTGGTATCATCAAATGGACTCGAATGGAATCATTATTGAATGGAATCGAATGGAATCATCGAATCGACTCGAATGGAATAATCATCAAATATCAAAAGCAATCATCAAATGGATTCGAATAGAATCATCGAATGGATTAGAATGTAATAATCATCAAATGGAATCAAATGGATTCATCAAATAGACTGGAATGAAATCAGCATGGAATGGAATCAAATGGAATCATCGAATGGACTCGAATGAAATCATCATCAAATGGAATTGAATGTAATCATCGAATGGAATCGAATGGAATCACTGAATGGACTTGAATGGAATAATCATCAAATGGAATAGAATGGAATAATCTAATGCACTCAAAACGAATCATCATCGAATGAAATCGAATGGAATCACCAAATGGACAAGAATGGAATCATCATCAAATAGAATCGAATGGTATCATCAAATGGAATAGAATGCAGTCATTATTGAATGGAATCGAATGGAATCATCATTGAATAGAATCAAACGGAATCATCAAATGGAATCGAATGGAATCATTGAATGGAGTCAAATTGAATGATCGAATGGAATTGAATAGAATCAGCATCAAACGAAATCGACTGGAATCATCATCGAATAGAATCGAATGGAATCATTGAATGGAATCTTCATCAAATGGAGTCCAAAGAAATCATCAAATGGACTCGAATGGAATTATCACAGAATGGAATTGAATGGAATCATCGAATGGAATCATCATCAAATGGAATCGAATGGTATCATCAAATGCACTCGAATGGAATCATCAACGAATGATATCGAATGGTATCATCGAATGGACTCGAATGGAAAAATCTTCAATTGGCATAGAAAGGAATCACTGAATGAACTCGAATGGAATAATCTTCTAAAGGAATCGAATGGAATCATCATCGAATGGAATCGAAGGGAATCATCGAATGGAATCGAATGGAATTTTCATCAAAAGGGATCGAATGGAATCATCATGGAATAGAATTGGATGGGATCATTGAAAGAAAGAGAAAGAAATCACCATCAAAAAAATCGAAATAAAACAAAGAATGGAATCCAACAGAATCATCGAATGGAATGAAATGGAATCATCATAGAATGGATTCGAATGGAGTCATTATAAAATGGAATCGAATGGAATCATTTAACGGACTCGAAAGGAACAATTGGACTCGAATGGGATCATCGAATGGAATTGAATGGAATCATCATGGAATGAAATAAAATGGAATCATCGAATGGACTCGAATGGAATCATCATCGAATGGAATCAAATAACATCATGGAATGCACTTGAATGGAATCATCGAATGGAATCATAATCGAATGGAATCGAAAGGAATCATCGAATGGAGCCAAATGGAATCATCATTGAATGGAATCAAAAGGAATCAATGAATGGAATTGAATGGAATCATCTTTGAATAGAATCGAATGGAGTAATCATGGAATGGAGTCGAATGGAATCATCATTGAATGGAATCGAATGGAAACATCATTGAATGGGATCGAATGGAATCATCAATGAATGGAATTGAATGGAAACATCATCGAATGGAATCCAATGGAATCATCAATGAATGGAATCGAAAGGAGTCATCAAATGGAGTCCTTTGGGTTCATCATCGAATGGAACCAAATACATTCATCATCGAATGAAATCAAATGGAATCATCGAATGGACTCGATGGAATCATCATTGCATGGAATCAAATGGAATCGAATGGACTTGAATACAATCATCGAATGGACTCGAATGGAATCATCATCAAATGGAATTGAAAGGAATCATCAAATGGACTCTAATTGAAGTATCATCGAGTGAAATCGAATGGAATCATTGAATGCACTTGAATAGAATCACCATCGAATGGAACCGAATGGAATCAATGAATGGAATTGAGTGGAATCACAATTGAATGGAATTAAATGGAATCGTCATTGAATGGAAACAAATGGAATCATCATCAAATGGAATCTAATGGAATCATCATATAATGGAAACGAATGGAATCATCAACGAATGGAATCAAATGAAGAAATAGAATGGAATCCGTTGGAATCATCATCAAATGGAACCGAATGCAGTCATCATCGAATGGAATCTAATGGAATCATCAAATGGGTTAAAATGGAATCATCATCGAATGGAATTGAATGGAATCATCAAATGGCCTCGAATGGAATGACCATCAAATGGAATAGAATGGAAACATCGAATATACACGAATGGAATCATCATTTAAAGGATTCAAATGAAATCATCGAATGACATCGAATGGAATAATCTTCGAATGGAATCTAATGAAATCATCGAATGGACTCTAATGAAATCATCAAATGGACTTGAGTGGAATCATCATCGAATGGAATCGAATGGAATCATCAAATGGACTCGAATGGAATCATCATCAAATGGAATTGAAAATGATCATAATCAAATGGAATCAAATGGAATCATCATCTACAGGATTCGATTGGAAGAATCATTGAATAGAATCGAATGGAATCACCGAATTTAATCAAATGGAATGATCATGAAATGGATTCGAAGGGAATCATCCAATGGGATTGAACGAAGTCATTGAATGGAATCGAGTGAAATCATCGAATGGATTCAAATGGAATCATGATTGAATGGAATCGAATGGAATCAATGAATAGACTCGAATGGAATCATCATTGAATGGAATTGAATGGAATCATCGAAGGGACACGAATGCAATCATCATTGAATGGACTCGAATGGAATTATCATCAAATGGAATTGAAAGGAATCAAACGGATTTGAATGGAATCACTGAATGTTCTCGAATGGCATCATCATCGAATGGAAACGAATGGAATAATTGAATGGACAAAAATGGAATCAACATCGAATGGAATCAAATGGAAGCATCGAATGGAATTGAATGGAGTCATCATTGAATGTAATGGAAAGGAATCGTCATCGAATAGAATCGAATAGTATCATCAAATGGAATAGAATGGAGTCATTATTGAATGGAATCGAATGGAATCATCATTGAATAGAATCAAACGGAATCATCAAATGGAATCGAATGGAATCATTGAATGGAGTCAAATTGAATGATCGAATGGAATTGAATAGAATCAGCATCAAACGAAAACGACTGGAATCATCATCGAATAGAATCGAATGGAATCATTGAATGGAATCTTCATCAAATGGAGTCCAAAGAAATCATCAAATGGACTCGAATGGAATTATCACAGAATGGAATTGAATGGAATCATCGAATGGAATCATCATCAAATGGAATCGAATGGTATCATCAAATGCACTCGAATGGAATCATCAACGAATGGTATCGAATGGTATCATCGAATGGACTCGAATGGAAAAATCTTCAATTGGCATAGAAAGGAATCACTGAATGAACTCGAATGGAATAATCTTCTAAAGGAATCGAATGGAATCATCATCGAATGGAATCGAAGGGAATCATCGAATGGAATCGAATGGAATTTTCATCAAAAGGGATCGAATGGAATCATCATGGAATAGAATTGGATGGGATCATTGAAAGAAAGAGAAAGAAATCACCATCAAAAAAATCAAAATAAAACAAAGAATGGAATCCAACAGAATCATCGAATGGAATCTAATGGAATCATCATGTAATAGAATCGAATGGAATCATCAACGAATGGAATCAAATGGAGAAATCGAATGGAATCCTTTGGAATCATCATGAATGGAATCGAATATAGTCGTCATCTAATGGAATCTAATGAAATCATCATCAAATGTAATTGAATGGAATCATCAGCAAATGGAATAGAAAGGAATCATTATGGAATAGAATCGAATGTAATCATCAAATGGAATGGAATGGAATCATCAAGGAAAGAAATCGAAGGGAATCATCGAATGGAATTGAACAGAATCATTTAATGGAATCCAATGGAATAATCATCGAATGGACTCGAATGGGACTATCATTGAATGGAATGGAATGGAATCATCGAATGGACATGAATCATCATCAAATGGAATCAGATGGAATCAACGAAGGAACTCAAAAAGAATCATTGAATGGAAACGAATGGAATCATTATTGAATGGAATTGAATGGAATCATCGAATGGACTCGACTGAAATCATCATTGAATGGAATCGAATGTGATCATCATCAAAAGAAATCCAATGGAATCACTGAATGGACTCGAATATAGTGACCAAATGGACGCGAATGGAATCATCAGATGGAATTGAATGGAATCACTGAATGGACTCGAATGGAGTCATTGAATGGACTCTAATGGAATCATCATCAAGTGGAATCGAATGGAATCATCAAATGGACTTGAATGGAATCATTGAATGGACTCGAATGAAATCATCAAATGGACTCGAATAGAATCATAATCGGATGGAATCATATGGAATCCTCGAATAGAATCAAATGGAATCATTAAATGGAATCGAACGGTATCATCAACGAATGGAATTGAATGGAATCATTGAATGGAATCGATGGCAATCATCATCTAATGGAATCAAGAGGAATCATTGAATGAAATAGAAGGGAATCATCATCAAGTGGAATCGAGTGGAATCTTCGAATGGAATCGAATGGAATCATTGTTGAATGGAATCGAATGGAATCAGTGTATTGAATTGAATGGAATCACCAATGAATGGAATCGAATGGAATCATCATCAAATGGAATCGAATGGAATCTTCGAATAAACTAGAATGGAATCATCATCGAATGGAATCCTGTGGAATATTCTAATGGGCAAGAATATAATACTCATCGAATGGAATCGAATGGAATCATCTAATGTACTCGAAAGGAATCATCATTGAATGGAATAGAATGGAATCATCGAATGGAATTGAACAGAATCATCATCGTATGGAATCGAGTAGAATCATCGAAAGGACTCGAATGTAACCATCGGAGAATGGAATCAAATGGAATCATCAAATGGATGCGAATGAAATCATCATGGAATGGAATCGAATGGAATCATCATCGAATGGAATCGAATGGAATAATCATGAAATGGAATCAAAAACAATCATCCTTGAATGGACTCAAATGAAATAATCAGATGTACTCGAAAGGAATCATTGAATGGAATTGAATGGAATCTTTGAATGGCCCTGAATGGAATCATCATCGAATAGAATCGAATGGAATAATCATGGGATGGAATCAAGAGCAATCATCCTCCAATGGATTCAAATGAAATCATCGAAAATACTCGAATGGAATCATCAAATGGAATTGAATGGAAACTTCGGATGGCCCCGAATGGAATCATCATCAAATGGAATCAAATGGAATCATTGAACGGACTCGAATGGAATCATGATCGAATGGAATCAAATGGAATCATCTAATGCAATTGAATGGAATCATAATTGAATGAAAACGAATGGAATCATTGAATGACGTCAAATGGAATCATCATCGAATGGAATCGAATGGAATCATTGAATGGAATCGAATGGAATCATAATCGAATATAATCAAAAGCAATCATCAAATGCATTCGAATAGAATCATCGAATGGCTCGAATGGAGTTAGCATCGAATGAAATCAAATGGAATCATCTAATGGACTCGAATGGAATCATCATCAAATGGAATCAAAAGTAATCATCAAATGGACTCGAATGTAATCATCAATGAATGTAAACAAATTGAATCAATGGAAAGGAATCGAATGGAATAATCTTCAATGGAATCGAAAGCGAATCCCTAAATGAATTCGAATGGAATAACCATCAAATGGTACTGAATGGAATCATTGAATGGATTCAAAAGGAATCATCATTGAATGAAATTGATTGGAATCATCAATGGACATGAATGGAATCATCATCAAATGGAATCGAATGGAATCATTGAATTGACTCAAATGGAATTGAAAGCATCATCAAATGTAATCAAATGGAATCATCAAATGGACTCAAACGGAATCATCATGAATGCTCTCCAATGGAATCATCATCGAATGGAATCGAAATGAATTAACATCAAATGTAGTGGAATGCAATCATTACCGAATGGAATCCAAAGGAATTTTCATCGAATGGAAACGAATGGAATCATCATTGAATGGAACTGAAAGAGGTCATTATCGAATGGAATTGCAAGGAATCATCATCGAATGAAATCGAATGGAATCATCATCAAATGGAATCTAGTGGAATCATCGAATTGAATTGAATGGAATCATCATTGAATGAATTGAATGCAATCATCGAATGGTCTCAAATGGAATTATTATCAAATGGAATCGAAAGTTTTCACCTAATGGAATCGAAAGTTTTCACCGAATAGAATCGAATGGAATTATCATCAAATGGATTCGAATGGAATCATCATCAAATGGAATAAAAGAAAATTATTGAATGGAATCGAATAGAATCATCGAATGGACTAGAATGGAATCATCAAATGGAATGGAATGGAATAATCAATGAACACGAAAGGAATCATCATTGAACGGAATTGAATGGATTCATCGAAGGGAATCAAATGGAATCATCATCGAATGGAATCAAACGGAATCATCATCGAATGGAATCCTCGAATAGAATCAGATGGAATCATCAAAAGGAATGGAAAGGAATCATTATCGAATGGAATTGAATGGAATGATCAAATGGAATCGAAGGCAATCTTCATCGACTGGAATCAATTGGAATCATTAAATGGAATCGAATGGAATCATTCTCAAGTGGAATCTAGTGGATTCATTGAAAGAAATCGAATGGAATCATTGTCGAATGCATTGGAATGAAATAATGGAATTGAATGAAATCACCAATGAATTGAATCGAATGGAATCATCATCGAATGGATTCGAAGGGAATCATTGAATGGACTCGAATAGTATCATCATCGAATGGAATTGTGTGGAATCATCTAATGCGCATGAATAGAATAATCATCGAATGGAATCGAATGGAATCATCTAATGTACTCGAATGGAATCATCATTGAATGGGATAGAATGGAATCATCGAATGGAATCGAACGGAATCATCATTGTTTGGAATCGAGTGGAATCATTGAATGGACTCGAATGTAATCATCGGAAAATGGAATCAAATGGAATCATCAAATGGACTCGAATGGAATGAATATCGAATGGAATCGAATGGAATCATTGAATGGACTCGAATGGAATCATCATCAAATATAATAGAAAGCAATCATCAAATGGATTCGAATAAAATCATTGAATGCCTCGAATGGAATCATCATCAAATGGAAACAAATGGAATCATCGAATGGAATTGAATGAAATCATCATTGAACGGAATCAAATGGAATCAACGAATGGAATGGAATGGAATGGAATCATCCTCAAATGGATTCGAATGGAATCACTGAATGGACTCGAATGGAATCATCATCAAATGGAATCGAATGGAATCATCTAATGAACTTGAAAGGAATCATCATCGAATGAAATCAAATGGAATCACCGAATCAAAACAAATGGAAACATCATTGAATAGAATCGAATGGAATGATTGAATGGACTCGAATGGAATATCATGGAATGGAATCAAAAGCCATCATCGAATGGACTGAAAAGTAATTATTGAATGGACTCGAGTGGAATCACTGAATGGACTCGAATGGAATCATCATCAAATGGACTCAAATGGAATGATCGAATGGAATCGAATGGAAACAAGGATTGGACTCAAATGGAATTATGGAATGGGCTTGAATGGAATCATCAAATGGACTCGAATGGAATCATTATCGAATGGAATTTAATGGAATCATAGAATGGAATCAAAAGGAATCATTGAATGGAATTGATTGGAATCTTCATCAATTGGAATCAGATGGAATCATCGAATGGAATTGAATGCAGTCATCATCAAATGGACCCGAATGGAATCATGATCAAATGGAATCGAATAGAATCATCGAATGAACTCGAATGGAATCTTCGAGTGGAGTTGAATGGAATCATCATCAAATGAAATTGAATTGAATCATCGAATAGCATCGAATGGAATCATCGTCGAATGGAGTCGAATGGAATCATCGAATGGACTCGAATGGAATCTTCATGGAATGTAATCAAATGGAATCTTCGAATGGAACCCAGTGGAATCATCATCAAATGCAATCAAATGGAATCATCATCAAATTTAATCAAATGGAGTCATCATTGTATGGAATAGAGTGGAAGCATTGAATGGGCTCGAAAGAAATCATCGGAGAATGGAATCAAATGGAATCATCGAAAGGACTCGAATGGAATCAACATCAAATGGAATCGAATGGAATCATCGAATGGACTAGAATGGAATCAGCATCGAATGGAATCAAATGGAATAATCGAATGGACACGAATGCAATCATCATTGAATGGAATCAAATGGAATCATCATCAAAAGGAATGCAATGGAATAATCAAATGGACTCGAATGGAATCATCGAATGGAGATGAATGGAATAATCATCGAATGGAATAGATGGGAAACATCGAATAGCATTGAATGGAATCATCCTCAAATGGAGTCAAATGGAATCATCGAATGAACACAAATGGTATCGTTATGGAATATAATCGAATGGAATCTTCGAATGGACTTGAATCAAATCATTATCGAATGTAATTCAATGGAATCATCATTGAATGGAATCATTATCGAATGGAATCGAATGGAATCATCGAATGGAATAGATTTGAATCTTCATTGAATGGAATCGAATAGAATCATTGAATTAAATAGAATGGAATCATCATCGAATGCAATTGAATGGAATCATCATTGAAAGGACTCGAATGGAATCATTAAACAGAAACAAATGAAATCATCATCGAATAAAATCAAATGGAATCATCGAATGGACTCGAATGGAATCATCATCGAATGGAATTGAATGGAATAATAGAGTGCACTCGAATAGAGTCATCGAATGGACTCGAATGAAATCAACTTCGAGTGGAATCGAAAGGAATCATCAAATGGACTTGAATGGAATCATCAAATGGACTCTAATGGAATCATCATCAAATAGAATCAAATGGAATCATCGAATGGATTCGAATTGAATCATCATCGAATGGAATCAAATGGAATCATCAAATGGAATCGAATGGAATGATAGAATGGAATCGAATGGAATCATCATCGAATGGAATCGAATGGAATCATAGAATGGAATTGAATGGAATCATCATTGAATGGAATCGAATGGAATCATCATGGAATGGAATTGAATGAAATCATCATTGAATGGAATTGAATGGAATCATAATCGAATGGAATCGAATGGAATCATCAAAGAATTGAATTGAATGGAGTCATCCGATGAAATCCGTTGGAATCATTATCAAATGGAATCAAATGCAGACATCATCAAATGGAATCGGATGGAATTATTGAATGGACTCGAATGGAAACATCATCAAATGGTATCGAATGGAATCTTCAAATAGACTCAAAAGCAATCATCGAATGGACTCGAGTGGAATCATTATCGAATAGTATCAAATAGAATCATCAAATGGACTCGAATGGAATTATCATTGAATGGAATCGAATGGAATCATTGAATGGACTCGAATGGAATCATCATCTAATGGAATCGAATGGAATCATTGAATGGAATGGAATGGAATCATCATCAAATGGAATCCAATGGAAACATGAAATGGAATCGAATGGAATCATCATCAACTGGAATAGAATGGAATCATTGAATGGAGTCAAATTGAATCATCATCGAATGAAATTGAATGGAATCATTGAATAGAATCGAATGAAATCATCATCAAATGGAATCGAACAGAATCATAGAATGGAATCAAATTGAATCGTCATGGAATGTAATCGAATGGAATCTTCGAATGGACTCGAATGGAATCATCATCGAATGGAATAGAATGGAATCATCATCGAGTCGAATTGAATAGAATCATCATCGAATGGAATCATCATCGAATGGAATCATCGAATGGAATAGAATTGAATCATCATCGAATGGAATCGATTAGAATCATAGAAGGAAATAGAATGGAATCATCATCGAATTTAATCGAATGGAATCATGAACGAATGGAATCGAATGGAAACATAGAATGGAATCCAATTTAATCATCATCGAATTGAACCCAATGGAATCATTAAATTGAATCGAATGGAATCATCGAATGGAGTCAAATGGAATCATCATCGAATGGAATAGAATGGAATCGTCAAATACAATCGAATGGAATCATCATTGAACTAAGACAAATGGATCATCGAATGGACATGAATGGAATCATCATGGAAAGAATAGAGTGGAATCATTGAATGGACTCGGATGGAATCATCATCATATGGAATTGAAAGGCATCATCAAATGGACTTGAATGGAATCATTGAATGGACTCAAAAGGAATCATCATCGAATGGAAATGAATGGAATAATTGGATGTACTCGAATGGAATCATCATCAAATGGACTCAAATGGAATGATCGAATGGACCTGCATGGAATCATCGAATGGAATTAAATGGAATTATCGAATGGGCTTGAATGGAATCATCGAATGGACAAGAATGGAATCATTATCGAATGGAATCAAATGGAATCATTGAATGATATCGAATGGAATCATCGAATGGAATCGATCGGAATGATCATCGAATGGAATCAAATGGAATAATCGAATGGAATCGAATGCTGTCATCATCGAATGGAATCGAATTGAATCATCATCGAATAGAATTGAATGGAATCATCAAATGGAATCGAATACAATCATCGTCAAATGTAATCGAAAGGAATCATCGAATGGAATCAAATAGAATCATCGAATGGAATTAAATGGAATCAGCATTGAATGAAATCAAATGGAATCACCATCGAATAGAATCGAATGGAATCATTGAATGGAATCATCATCAAATGGATTCCAATGGAATCATCAAATGGACTCGAATGGAATCATCATAGAATGGAATTGAATGGAATCATCAAATGATATCGAAAGGAATCATCATCAAATGGAATCGAATGGTATAATCGAATGCATTCAAATGGAATCATCAACGAATGGTATCGAATGTTATCACTGAATGGAATAGAAAGGAATCATCTTCAATTGGAATGGAAAGGAATCACCAAATGTATTCCAATGGAATAATCATCAAAAGGCATCGAATGGAATCATCTAATCGAATCGAATGGAATCATCATCAAATGTAATCAAATGGAATCATCAAATGGGACTCGCATGGAATCATCATTGTATGGAATCGAATGGAATCATCTAATGAAATCGAATGGAATCATCTGCGAATGGAATCAAATGGAAACATCATCGAACGGAATCAAAAGAATCAACATCAAATGGAGTCGAAAGGAATAATCATCAAATGGAAACGATAGGAGTCATCATCCAAAGGAATCGCATAGAATCATCATTGAATGGAATCGAATGGAATCATCATCATATGGATTCTAACGGAATCATCTAATGGAATTGAATGGAATCATCATCGAATGAAGTGAATGGAATCATCGAATGGTCTCAAAAGGAATCATCATCGAATGGAATCGAATGGAATCATCATTGAATGGAATTGAATAGAATCCTCATTGAATAGAATTGAATGGAATCATCAACGAATGGAATCGGATGGAATTTTCATCAAATGGAATCGAATGGAATCATCATCAAATAGAATAGAATGGGATTATCAAATGTAATCGAATGGAATCATCACCAAAACGAATCAAAATAAAACAAAAGAATGGAATCCAATGGTATCATTGAATGGAATCGAATGGAATCATCATTGAATGGACTCGAATGGAGTCATCATCGAATGGAAATGAATGGAATCATTTAATGGACTGGAATGTAATCATTGAATGCACTTGAATGGAATCATTGAATGGAATGGAATGGAGTCATCACCGAATGTAATCAAATGGAAACATCGGATGGACTCGAATGGAAATATCATCGAATGGAGTCGAATGAAATCATGGAATGTACTTGAATGGAATAATCGAATGGACTCAAATGGAATCAACATCGAGTGGAATCAAAAGGAAAATCAAATGGACTTCAATGGAATCATCGAATGGACTCGAATGGAATCATCAAATGGAATTGAAAGTAATTGAAAAGACTTGAATGGAATCATTGAATGTACTCGAATGGAATCATCATCGAATGGAATCAAATGGAATCATCCAATGGACCTGAATGGAATCACCATTGAATTGAATTGAATGGAATCATCGAATGGAATCCAATGGAATCATCATTGAATGGAATCGAATGGAATCATCACTGAATGGAATCAAATGGAATCACCATCGAATGGAATATAATGGAATCATCATCAAATGGAAAAGAATGGAATGATCAACGAATGGAATGAAATGGAGAAATCGAATGAAATCCGTTAGAATCATCATCAGATGGAACCGAATGCAGTCATCATCCAATGGAATCAAATGGAATCATCAAATGGATTAGAAGGGAATCATCATAGAATGGAATTGAATAGAATCACCGAATGGGCTCAAATGGAATCATCATCAAATGGAATTGAATGGAATCATTGAATGGACACGAATGGAATCATTGTTGAATGGAATCGAATGGAATCATCGAATGGCATTGAATGGAATCATCATCAAATGGAATCTAATGGAATCATCGAATGGACTCGAATGGAATCATCATCAAATGGAATTGAATGAAATTATAATCGAATGGAATCGAACGCAATCATCATCAAATGGAGTCAAATGGAATCATCAGTGAATACAATCAAATGGAATCACTGAATTGAATCAAATGGAATGATCATCGAATGCAATCAAAGGGAATCATCGAATGGGATCGAAAGGAGTCATCGAATGGAATCAAGTGGAATCATCGAATGGATTCGAATGGAATCATCATTGAATGGAATCAAATGGAATAATCGAATGGACACAAATGCAATCATCATTGAATGGAATCGAATGGAATCATCATCGAAAGGAATCTAATGGAATCATCGAATGGAATCAAATGGAATCATCATCAAATATAATCAACCAGTAACATTGAATGTAATCAAATATAATCATCATTGAATGTAAAAGAATAGAATAATCAAACGGAATTGACTTGAATCAACATCGCATGGAATTGAATCATAGAAAGGTATCGAATCTAATCATCATTGAATGGAATCAAATGTAATCGTCATCTAATGGAATCCAAAGCAATTACTGAATGGACTTGAATAGAATCATTGAATGGAGTTGAAAGGAATCATCATCAAATGGAATAGAATGGAATCATTGAATGGACTCGAATGGAATCATCATCAAATTGAATCAAATGAATTCATTGAATGGACTCAAATGGAATCATCGTCGTATGGAATCGAGTGTGATTATCTTCAAATGGAATCATCGAATGGACTCGAATGGAATGATCAAACGGACTCGAATGGAATCATCAAAAGGAATCAAATGAAATCATCAAATGAACTCAAATGCAATTATCAAATGCACTCGAATGGAATCATCGAATGGACTCTATGGATTCATCATCAAATGAAATTGAATGGAATCATCAAATGTACACGAATGGAATCATTGAATGGACTCGAATGGAATCATCGAATGCACTCGAAGGGAATAATCATCAAATATAATCGAATGGAATCAACCAATGGAATCAAATGGAATCATCAAATGGAATCGAATGCAATCATCTTTGAATGGAACCGAATGGAATCATAGAATGGAATCAAAGGCAATCATTGTCAAATGGAATCAGATGGAAATATCATCAAATAGAATTGAATGGAATCATCGAATGGACTTGAATGGAATCATCGAATGGACCCGAATGGAATCATTATTGAATGGAATTGAATGGAATCATCGAATGGTCTCGAATGGAATCATCATCGAATGGAATCGAATTTAATCATCAAATGGAATCAAATGGAATCGTCATTGAATGGAATCAAATAGAAGCAGCATCAAATAGAATCGAATGGAATCATCATCAATGGAATTGAATGGAATTTTCTTCAAATGGAATCGAATGGAAACATCATCGAATAGAATACAATGGGATAATCGAATGAAACTGAATGGAATCATCATCAAAACGAGTCAAAATAAAACAAAGAATAGAATCCAACAGAATCATTGAATGTATTCAAATGGAATCATCATTGAATGGACTCGAATGGATTCATCATCGAATGGAATCAAATGGAATCATTGAATGGACTCAAATGGTGTCATCGAATGGAATCTAATGTAATTATCATCAAATGAAATCAAATGGAATCATCGAATGGAATCAAATGGAATCATCATCGAATGGAATCAAATAAAATCATGGAATGCACTCGAATAGAATCATTGAATGGACTCAAATGGAAACAACATTGAGTGGAATTGAAAGAAAACATCAAATGGAGTTGAATGGAATAATCGAATGGAATCATCATCTAATGGAATAGAATGGAATCATTGAAGGGACCCAAAAGGAATCATGATCGAATGTAATCAAATGGAATCATCGAATGGAATCCAATGGAATCATCATTCAATGGAATCGAATGGAATCATCATCAAATGTAATCGAATGGAATCATCATCAAAGGGAATAGAAAGGAATCATCATCAAATGGAATCGAATGGAATCATCAATAAATGGAATCGAATGGAGTCTTCGAATGCAGTCCGTTAGAATCATCATCGAATGGAACCGAATGAAGTCATCATCTAATGGAATCAAATGGAATCATCGAATGGACTCAATGGAATCATCATTGCATGGAATCGAATGGAATCGAATGGACTCAAGTGGAATCATCATCGAATGGAATCAAAACAATAATCGATTGGACATGAATGGAATCACCATCAAATGGAAATGAATGGAATCTTCGAACGCAATCGAATGAAATTATTGAACGGAATCGAATAGAATCATCATTGAATAGAATCGAATTGGATCATCATCGAATAGAATCTAATGAAATCATCATCGAATGGAATCTAGTGGAGTCATCATCTAATGGAATTGAATGGAATCAGCAAGGAATGGAATCGAATGGAGAAATCGAATGGAATCCGTTGGAATCATCATCGAATGGAACCGAATGCAGTCATCATAGAATGGAATTGAATGGAATCAACGAAAGGACTCGAATTGTGTCATCATTGAATGTAATAGGATGGAATCATCAAATGGACTCGAATGGAATCATCCAATGGACTCTAATGGAATCATCATCGATGGAATCAAATGGAATCGAATTGAATCATCGAATGGACTCTAATGGAATCATCATCGAATGGAATCGAATGGAATCATCGAATGGACTCGAATGGAATCATTGAATGGACTCGAATGGAATCATCATTGAATGTAATCGAGTGGAATCCTCAAATGGAATCAAATGGAATCATCAAATGGAATCGAACAGATTTATAAGAAACTTACTTGAACCAAACAATAGAAAAACAAACAAACCAAAACCCCCGAAAACTGTGATGAGCAAAGTAGACATCAGAACAGGAAATATCACTGGGGATGAAGAATAACATTTCACAATGACAAAGGGCAAAATGTACCAAGAAGTCATGTAAATATGAAATATGTACGCACACAATAGCATTACTTTAAAATACATAATATAAAACCTATTAAAACTGAAAGGTAAAATAGTAAAACCATAGTCATCCATGGGAATTTCAACAGTCTCCTGCCAGAAATTTTTAAATTTTGTTAAATGTAATGTTGGGAAGGTTAGAGAGGATCTTATAAATATAATTAGCCAACTTGATCTAATTGAATCTTTTAGAATAATCTAAGGATGAGGAATGAGGTAGCAGAGAAAGAAAAGGCAGACATCAACGTGACATTAGTGTTTCAAGGCTATGAGAATACACCAATAATGGTGTGTGTGTGTGTGTGTGCAGATGGTAAGCTCAATCTTAAAAATGTTGAGTTTTAACTGACAATTCATTATTAGGAAAGATAAGAGGAAATGATATCTAGTGAGAGGCTATATGACTGAACTCTAAGAGCAAGGTCACAGCAGAAATTGTGTACTTGACAGCTCTATAAGGAGGTCAGTCAAAAATAAGTCAGTGATGAATTCTCTGGTGTAAAAGCAGAGGAATGAGGATTAGATTTAAAACACATGGAAGCAGAGTGACTTATGATAAAAACATGAGCTTGAAAATCCTGCAGAGAGGGCTTTAAATCCTGGGTAAGATATTCTGCTTGTGTAGGCAATAGTGATAAAAACACAACAACAAAGAGAGGTAAAGAGCACTTTCCTTTGATATAAGTAAAGGGCACGTCTTATTGCACATATATATATATATATATATATATATATATATATATATATATATATATATATATGTATGTATGTATTCAACTGACATTCAACATGTTTCTCTCACTGAAACAGCAAGCTCTCCAGGCCTTCATGTTCCCAGTGAGGTATGTAACCTTCTGATGATTATACTCACCCTCCCTCATTGCAAAGCTCCCATTGTTATTGTCTTGGCTCTGGATTCCCTCAAAAATAGACTATGAAACAAATATCTGGGGTCAGATACTTTAATCAGAAATTGAGTGAGAAAGCACAGAAGTGGAGAAAATGAAACAGAACACGAAGCCAATGTGAATGAGTAGTTACTGCTATGTGCTCAGTAATGATGGAGGTATGGAGATTGTGTCAAAATAACTTTACAAAGAGATGGGGATGCTGGAATTCCCATCTCTTATTGCTTAAGGATTGCCTTAGAATCATTAACTCTCCACCCCTAACTCCTTCTTTTTTCCTATGTGTGGTGAGAAGCACTGGTTAGCTCAAGAAGCTTGCAGGCAGGCCCAAAATCAGAAAGACAGGCATGATGTGGGGAGCTCTCAGTTAGCTGGAAACAGGTGAATTTCAGGTGAACACATTGAGTGAGGACATAGAAGACAAGTCATCAGCAATATCTGCTATAGCCAGTTTTCTTTTTCTTTTTAAGAATATATATACTTTTTATTGGGGGTCCCCAAGTCCCCCTTTGGTTTAATGATTCACATCACCCAAGAAAGCTGATTTTTTTTGTGGTTATAGTTTCTAACAGTGAAAGAAGCCAGATTAAAATAATCAGAAGCATAAAAGCACATAAAGTAGAGTCCAGGACAAACCAGATGTGAGCTTACAGGTGTCCTTTCATAGTGGGGACTTCACACTGACTAATTTTCTTTACAATGGTGTGAGACAACATGTGTGAACTTGTTGCCAACTAGGGAAGCTCCGTCAGTCTTGAGTCCAGGGTTTTTATTAGGATTCCACCACATATGCATCGAGCGTCCTGTGACTGAACTTAGCAACTTAGTTCCCAATCTCCCTATGCCCTAAGAGAGGTCATATTAATATGGCATTACACAAAGTCATAGGCATACAGAAACAGGTACTCACAAGAAATCACGTTGTTAGCATCAGTTATTTGATATGACCTACGTTGTCACGCATACAAAGACTCTCATCAGGCAACATATACCAAGGGCTCATAGGTTATCATCTCCCAGGAGCTTGTCAAGGACCAGTCCTGAAGACCTTTGGAATGCGCAAGGTTTTGGAAAGCCATGTCTGCAGAATTAACCCTTCATTACACAACCTCCAAGAATTTTTTTTATCTTTAAAAATGTTCTTTGATCTTTGACGATGTACAAACCAATACTGAGTAATTAGTAACAACAGTGTACTCCTGAGTACTTGCACCTGCAAGGAGAAAAAGGACAGATACACTTACATAGGACAGATGCAAATAGACACCACTATGACAAGTAAAGCTGGAATAATCAATAAATTCCTAAAGACAAAGTGGGGCTGGTGAGATTGGGAGACCGCTGACAGCTGCAGAAGTTGGGAAAGATCCATCATCTTGAAAACTTTTTCCCCACAATCCCACTGCGATCTCTCAAGCAATTGGTAAGGAATCCAAGAGAGTCTGTATATGACACAGATCAGGGAGAGCAGAAAACTTGGGAGGTGACCAGGTCTTGGGGTCCGAGCCCTTATGAATGGGATTAGTGCCTTTATAAAAGAAGCTCATTGGAGTTCTTGTGTGCCTTTCACTATGTGAGGACATAGAAAGAAGGCAGCATCTGTGAACCATGAAATGGGCTCTCATCAACACTGAATTTGTGAGCATCTTGACCTGAGATCTCACAGCCTCAAGAAGTGTGAAAAAAGAAATATCTGTTGCTTTTTAGTCACTCAGTTTATGTTATTTTGTTATAAGAGTCCAAACAGACCAATATATTCCACTTAATATGTAGGGGAAGGCAACAAAAACTGCCACACTTAGGATCCTCCTGATGCTGGGATTATGAAAACAGGAAAAACAAAACAAAACTGCTCTTGAAGGTGAAGGAGGAATATCACTGAGCTCACCAACACAGCCAGGAAAAGAACAGAAGTGTGAGAAGTCTACATTCCTGAGACCCTGAGAAAAAGTACCTGCATAAGACTGAGATGAAATTACCTACTCTAGTTATGATTGAAATCCCAAAAAGAAAAGAGGGAAAAATAATGGAGAAAAAGAAATATTTTTCAAAATAACTGCCAAAATATTCTAAAAGAAGTGACAGAAAATCAAACTTCAAATATAGGAAACTCAGAGAATGTTAAATAGAACAAAAAGAAATAAGAAGTACATCTTGAAAAATCTTTAAAAAATCAAGTCTAAATTTTATATCTTGCTCCAAATATATAGATATATAAATAGGTTATCATCAAGATATGGAGAAAACCGTATCATGGAAACACTAAAATAAGGCTGTGGAAGGACTACATTGATATTAGCCACAACAGAGTTCAGAACAAGAAATAGTATCAGAGATGAGAGATAATAGATAATAGAATAATCAATTCTCAAGAAGATGTAAACATCCTAATAATTAGGTTATGCAGCTAACAACAGAACCTCCAAATACATGAGGTAAAACAGGAAAGAAATCAAAGGTGAACTAGAAAAATCCAAAATTATGTTTGCAGACTTCAACACTTTTGTCTTAGTAATGGAAAGACTAGGCACAAATTCAGTAATCATGTGGGAGATAAGAACAACAATATCACCAACAAGACATCCAATCTTCAATGGCAGATACTCTTTCCTTTCAAGTGAAAAAAAAAAACAGTATGGCATATTCTCTAACAAACCCAGAATTTTTAATATTTGCATTCTTCCTTTCTTCTTTCCATCGTCCTTTCTCTTCTCTTCCCTTCCCTTGCCTTCTTCCTTCCTTTCTTCTTTTCATCTTCCTTTTCTTTTCTTTTTTCTTTTCCTTTCTTTCTTTTCTTTCTTTTTTTCTCCTTCTTTCCTTCTTTCCTTCTTTCTTTCTTTCCTCTAATTCTTCCTTCCCTCCGCCCTCCCTTCCTTTCTCCCTCCCTTTTCTTCCTTCTTTTCTCATATTCTTTCTTTTTTCTCACGTTCTGGCTTCCTTTCCTTTTTTCTCCCTTCCTCCAGCCCTCCATTTCTTCCTTCCTCCCTCCCTTCCTTTCCTCTTTTTCTTTCCTACCTTTGCCTGTTTATTACCTTTGTTCCTTTGCCTTCCTCCCTTTTACCATTCTCTCTTCCTCCTTTCCTTCCACCCTTCCTCCTTTCTTTCTTTCTTTTTCTCTTTCTCTCTTTCTTTCTCTTTCTTTCTTTCTTTCCTTCCTTCTTTCTTTCTTGTGTTCTTGCTTTCTGTTTTCTCCCTTCCTCCCTTTCTCCCTTCCTCCCTCCCTCCCTTCCTTCCCTCATTTCCTCCTTCTTTTCTTTCTTCTTTCTTTATTTCCTTCCTTCCTTCTTTTTATTTCTTTGTTTTCTTTTCTGTCTTTCTCTTTACTGCAATTCATATTATTTTAAAAAAATTAAGAGAGGGGGACAGAAAAATAAAGAACGCTTTAATCTGCAGGTAAATAGATTATGTCTGTTGTAGGTCAAAGAATAGCCTCCCAAAAATTTTCATGTCCTAATTCCCAGAGTCTAACATACAAATATGTTAGGTTGCACGGTAGTGTGAAATTAGATTTCAAGCGAAATTAAGGTTGCGGAAAAAATGATAGAGAGATTGTCTTAAATGGGTGGGATCAATGAAATCACAAACTTCATTATAAATGAAAGGAGAAGGCAGAAGAAAGGCAACCTTGGAGGTGGTGGCATGAGAAATTACTCAACATCACTGACTTTTAAGATACAAGAATGAGGACACAGCGCGGTGGCTCATGCCTAATCCCAGCACTTTGGGAGGCTAGGGTGGGTTTATCACGAGGTCAGGAGATTGAGACCATCCTGGCTAACATGGTGAAACCCCATCCCTACTAAAAATACAAATAATTAACTGGGTGTGGTGGCAAGTGTCTGTAGTCCAAGCTACTCAGGAAGCTGAGGCAGAAGAATCCCTTGAACCCGGGAGGCAGTGGTTGCAGTGAGCTGAGATCGTGCCACTGCACTCCAGCCTGGGTGACAGAAGGAGACTCCATCACAAAAAAAAAAAAAAAAAAATAGGATATAAGAATGAGGACATGTTCCAAAGAATAAAGGTGGCCTGTGGATGCTGAAAAAATCAAGTAATAGATTCTGCCACATAGCCCTCAGAAAGACTGCAGTCCTACCCAAAACTTGATATTAGCCCTGTGAGTTTCATTTAAGGCTTCTGAACTACAGAACTGTAGGATTAATGGTCACTTTATTGTAAGATATGAAATTTGTGGTAATTGGTTACAGCAGCAAGAGGAAGTTTATACTGTAATTGTATCATGAAAATGAGAACCATAATTTACAACTGCTCTTAATACTGCACTTGGATGTTTGAAATCACGTACATGGAAACGATCTCTATGTGTATGAGGGAGGATAGCAAATTGATGCCAAAATAATGCAAATGCAAATCTTACACTCATTTCTATGTGGGTTTCATTTAATCTTTGAAATGAAAATGAAATTAAAAGATTGTGATCTTTTGATGAAATTAGACTAAAATGAACAATAACAAAATAAGAACTTACTTATATTCTTTATATGGTCAATAAAGAAGTGATAGTGGAAAAAACAAGATCAAATGAAGGTGATGATTTAAGAAGTTGGAAAGATAGCTGAAACTACAAAATATTATATAACCAGTGAACACTTAGACACACTGATTGATGAACTTCAGCTTTTGGCTTGGTGAGAGCATAAAATGAGAGCAGCTGAGGTTTGCAAATTTGTAATCTCCTTGTGGAAAAACAGGGGAAAACACATCTCAGCCTAATAAGATTTATCTACTAAAGAGTCTAGACTTGATCCATTTGTCCTTGTAATTCAAAAGCTAATTCAAATACTGATTTGATGTATTGTGTGAACAACCATTGTTGATTATCATCGCATACCTGGCATTCTCTCATATCTGATATCTAAAATATTTGGTAATTCCTGGACTTTCTCTTTTCAAACCCAGTACGGTTTAATTTGAGTCTTAGAACAGTTGTGTTTGAGAAATTCTTCCCTCTACTGCATCTGTGAATGGGCATAGCATGGTTACATACATACTGTCACTCCATAGAACATTTGTTAAATTAAAGCCAAAGTTTAAAGCAAGAGCTTTAACTTACTGGTTTTACAAATGGTTTTCTCCCCAATAGCCAGAACAATATTGATACCCTCACACCTTTTAACATCAAGCTTGGTGTTGTCTATTTTTCAGGTGCTGTCATCTATATGATCTCAGTATTTTAAAAATCAGCTTCCAGCCCATATGGTGGTTCATGCTTGTAATACCAGCAGTTGAAGAGGCTGAAATGCGAGGATTCCTTGAGCCCAGGAGTTCACAAGCAACCTGGGCAACATAGCAAGACACAGTCTCTATCAAAATTAAAAAAAAAAAGTGTTCCTATTTCTCCATATCCTCTCCAGCACCTGTTGTTTCCTGACTTTTTAATGATTGCCATTCTAAGTGGTGTGTGATGGTATCTCATTGTGGTTTTGATTTGCATTTCTCTGATGGCCAGTGATGATGAGTATTTTTTCATGTGTTTTTGGGCTGCATAAATGTCTTCTTTTGAGAAATGTCTGTTCATGTCCTTCGCCCACTTTTTGATGGGTTTGCTTTTGTTTTTCTTGTAAATTTGTTTGTGTTCATTGTAGATTCTGGATATTAGCCCTTTGTCAGATGAGTAGGTTGCGAAAATTTTCTCCCATTTTGTAGGTTGCCTGTTCACTCTGATGGTAGTTTCTTTTGCTGTGCAGAAGCTCTTTAGTTTAATTGGATCCCATTTGTCAATTTTGTCTTTTGTTGCCATTGCTTTTGGTGTTTTAGACATGAAGTCCTTGCCCATGCCTATGTCCTGAAAGGTAATGCCTAGGTTTTCTTCTAGGGTTTTTATGGTTTTAGGTCTAATGTTTAAGTCTTTAATCCATCATGAATTGATTTTTGTATAAGGTGTAAGGAAGGGATCCAGTTTAAGCTTTCTACATATGGCTAGCCAGTTTTCCCAGCACCATTTATTAAATAGGGAATCCTTTCCCCATTGCTTGTTTTTCTCACTGTTGGTGGGACTGTAAACTAGTTCAACCATTGTGGAAGTCAGTGTGGTGATTCCTCAGGGATCTAGAACTAGAAATACCATTTGACCCAGCCATCCCATTACTGTGTATATACCCAAAGGACTATAAATCATGCTGCTATAAAGACACATGCACACGTATGTTTATTGTGGCATTATTCACAATAACAAAGACTTGGAACCAACCCAAATGTCCAACAATGATAGACTGGATTAAGAAAATGTGGCACGTATACACCATGGAATACTATGCAGTCATAAAAAATGATGAGTTCATGTCCTTTGTAGGGACATGGATGAAATTGGAAATCATCATTCTCAGTAAACTATCACAAGAACAAAAAACCAAACACCGCATATTCTCACTCATAGGTGGGAATTGAACAATGAGATCACATGGACACAGGAAGGGGAATATCACACTCTGGGGACTGTTGTGGGGTGGGGAGAGGGTGGAGGGTTAGCATTGGGAGATATACCTAATGCTAGACAGCGAGTTACTGGGTGCAGCGCACCAGCATGGCACATGTATACATATGCAACTAAGCTGCACAATGTGCACATGTATCCTAAAACTTAAAGTATAATAAAAAAAAAAGTGGGCATGGTGATGTGCACCTGTTGTCCTAGCTATTTGGGAGGCCAAGGTAGAAGGATTGCTTGAGCTTGGGAGGTTGAGGCTGCAGTGAGCAGTGATTGCACCACTGCACTCCAGCCTGGGCAACAAAGCAAGACCCTATCTCAAAAAATATATATAATAAAAATAAATATCAGCTCTCATTGATTTCCATGTAAATATGCACAGGTGATGTCCATATAGACATAAATAATAATATTTCTGACAATGGGTCCATATGATCTTCAAAATGTAAAATGCCCATCTGTGTAATTGACTGGTTAGTCTCATTAATGAATATAGATTTAATTCTACTTTCTTGTTCTAGATAAATTATATAATCTAGCTTTTCATTTCACTTATTTACTGATAACAACCGGAAGAATGACAAGATATCTATTTTGCAAAATTACTCTGGTAGGAGTAAAGATGAAACAATGAAAGAATTGCACGGAAAACTAGAAAAAAGTATGGTCTTCTGATATTCTATCACATCACATACTAAAGGCCTCATAAAACTCAGATATTTTGTCTAAAAATTTTATTTTCATCATAGGAATGATCAAAGCATGAGACCACAATTGTATTAAAATGTGCTTGTATCACAAGCACAGGTGCTAAAAAGGAGAGGAAAACATCCTTACTGATATTTTCAACGTATGTTTTACTTTTCGTCAACATGAACCCCAACTTGATATGATGCAGACTGAAGGAAATCACCCGTAATTCCATATGAAGAAGGTCTGTGATATTTTATGGGAAAATAAATAGACAAAATGCCAACAGAAACCCTATCAAGCATGAAGCTTTATGGAGCAAACACAAATCCAGTGGTGAAAGATACACACTCGAGTTCTGTTTGCTGTCTTAGAACAATACGGTTTAGAGGTGACTGGTGGATGAGGAGAACATATGCGAGTTCACCAAAGAGAAAAGCTGAATGAGGCAATGCCTCTTCCTGACCATATCTCTTACTCAGATAATGATATAATTTATTGTCCAGTAAAGGGTATATTAAAAAATCATATTAAAAGTCATGCAGCGAAGTTGTCCAGGGAAATCAAGACTTAACAGTCTCACTGTGACAATAATGAACAGGGGGATACCCTCAAGATAGACTAGGACATGACCCCACACTGGCAGGTAGTAGTACCAGAAAAGAACACATGGAAAATCTTTACCTTATGCTTGAGGTAGGGACCAGGCTAAAGCGAAAGCCAGACCTAAAATTCTATCTAAAATAAATCCACAATCAAAGAAAATGTGTGGTGTTCAGGCATAGAATGTCTTTACTGGATCATTGAAATAGTAAGATAAATTCAACTTTTTACATTGTTTTCTTTTCATACAGTTAGGGCTTGAGGTTTGTCTCCGGAGAGTGACTGTCAATTGGAGCCCTGCCTTTCTGGGGTTCTGGTCAGGGGGTTGTGGATGCTTAACATGTGCCTTTCACAGGACACTTCCTTACCCCAGCAGTGGCCAGGTGTGCATCCCACGACCAGGCCTCCCTCTCACAGAACATCTGTTGAGACTAGGAGATGCCTGGTGACTGTTGCCTGACCTGTGTCCTGTGTATTTCTGACAAGAGCCACTCTCAGAGACCCTGGCCAGGAGGAGAGTTAGGTTCCAGTGTAGGTCAGGTCAGACCCATGGAGGCCACAGAACCAAACATGGGAAATCACAGAAGTAGGTTTATTACTCACAGATCCAGAGAGAAGAGGGTAGCTGAGAAGAGGGTTTAGCTGTGTCCCCAGCCAAATCTCATCTTGAATTCCCACATGTTGTGGGAGGGAACAGGTGGGAGGTAATTGAATCATGGGGGCAGGTCTTTCCCATGCTGTTCTTCTGATAGTGAATAAGTCTCACAAGATCTGATGGTTTTATAAAGGGGGGTTTCCTGCACAAGCTCTCTTGTCTTGTCTGCTGCCATGTGAGACGTGCCTTTCAGCTTGCACCATGATTGTGAGGCCTACCCAGCCATGTGGAACTGTGCATCTACTAAACCTCTTTCTTCTGGAAATTACCAAGTCTTGGGCATGTCTTTACCGGTGGTGTGAAAATGGACTAATACAGTAGCACACCTCATAGGGCTGAACAAAATGGTGAAGATGAGTGGGGAGCAGGAGAGAGAAAAGAGGTCTGTGGGACTCCAGCCTTTATTGGGCCCAGAACATTATCCAAATAAGTTTTCCACGGGGCACTAGTCGGTGGGGTGAGTGCCAGCAGGCACATTTCTTGACTCCCGCTGCAATCGAGCAGGTCACTCTGGCATGTGGGGCTGTCCATGTCCTCTGTGAGGTTTGTGGGGTGATTCAGGTAGGTTGTATCAAACGGTTACATAGCTGGTAGTCACCAGGAGGAGGCAACTGTGTAGGGTCAATATCTGGGCCAACCACACTGAGGAACTGTGAGGGTTAGATCTGGAAATTGTCAAGGGAATCTGAACCCAGCTACCATATGAGAGAGTTCAACTTATGTTCAATGTGAATGCCATGGCAATATTAAAAGGTAAGAGTTCAGTCCATACATGCTTGAGGTAAATAGGAGAAACCTAGAATTTATGTATACAGTGAGAAGATTGGATGCATTTCTTGTCACATATTTTAATACTAGCAGCTTATTGTATATGTCAATCCATCAGGCATTCAGAAATACATGCTTATGAAATTTTTTTGCACCATCAGACAAAAGACAAGGGTAGAAGACATTTGTAACCCTATAAACATTAGTAAATTAAAAACAGAAGGACCTTTATGTCCTAACATATCTGTGTTGTGAAAGGCTGCCCTGTGAAATACGGGATTTCTTAAACATATTTTAAAAATCATAGGTGTCAATATTTTTTAGAAATCCATTTAAATTTTCTCTTGTTATTTTACAATGCCTATTTATTTATTTACTGGCTCTGCTGATTTTGATGTATATCCTAAATTTTATATTTTCTTTAAAGGATGTTTTATACAACTTTATGAAAAATATTTCAGTATCTTCACATTCTCTCCCTGTCCTTTTGTTTTGCTCTTATATGGTGGTCTGGAGTCTTTTCTCTGGCTTTTCAAACCTAGTAAGACTAAGACACTAAAGTAATTTTGCCGGTGGTTTGGTAATGCCTTCTAAAGCACATCCTAAGTTCTCGTGCATACAGGGGTCTCTTTTGAGCTCTGTGCTTTTGAGATCCCATGTACCTAAATTCCAGTACTCCAAATCAGTACTGCTCAGTTTCAGTGACTAAGTTTATAAATGTATTTTAATAGCAAGTTAGGTTAGTGCACTCTTGCTTCTGTCTTGACTGCTTATATAAATGTATATTCCTTTAAATGAATCTTGGAATTTGTTTAAAAATTTTAAATTATACTAATGAAACTGTATATTGTTGTGAATTCATAAGTGAATTTGGAAAGGATTTGTCTTTATGATACTAAATCTTTTTTATCCAAGAATCATATGTGTCTTTATATTTATTCCAGTCTATATTTATATCACTGAGTAAATATATAGAAATGTAGATACATACAGCTGTAGTTATAGATACAAATATAGATATAACATGTTAAATCTATATCTATCCCATATAACATATATACATGTTATATGTGTGTGTGTATATATATATATGATTATGTTATTAAAGAGCTCCCTTAAAATTTTTCTTTTATTTCCCATATAATTTTAGGTCGAGTTTGAATTTTCCTTGTATAAACAAGCAAATATTTATACTAGTTTTAATACAGATGTTTAGACATTGTATCTTATTTTAGCATTGAATATTTTCACAATTATTATAAATATTATCTAATAATAATGTACCAGTTAAAAATATTTAAAATTTTACCTTTGAATTATTTCACTGTTGAATTAAAATTCCTTTAATGTGATAGTAAATTTCTATGTTATGCTTTCTCTATGCATATGCAAATTAATCTATCCACTTCTCTATCTCTTTGTAGTGACATGAAAATCAGGCCTCTCTTCTTCTAATGGACATACACGTTTCCATATAGAATATCAGACTCTTTATAGCATTTAAAATCTTTAAAGACATAAATATAGCCTTTTGACAAATATACTTTAGCATGTACTGAGAATCCCCTATTTATTTTTAATTTGGACTAATCAGTATGAATATTAATATTATTGGATTACCAAATTTTGAAACACACTTTCATCCCCAAGGTGGATATTTGTTTTATTTTTTTTGGCAATTTCTTGTCTTACTGTTTGAAATATTGTTGGATATTATTTATATTTTATTTAGCATTTTAGTATCAACATTTGTAATTCAGGTACTCTACATATTTTTTCTTCAATATCTGGAGGGTTTTATAATTACTGCTATATTGGATTTGTAGTAGACATTGACAAAAATTATTCCTGTATGTTTTATAGCTGTAAGAGGGAAACTAATATATTTTACCCCTAAATATATTTCCTTGATATATTTCAAAATGGCTATTGAGAAGGGCTGGAAATTCAAACTTAGCTTTAAAGCTGTCTTGGGGAGATTTTTATCGGTATAGAATCTGCCTTGATGCAGCCAGGCTTTATCTGAGGTCTGCCCTCTTCTCTAGATCTAAGAAAGTTTAACTGAGAGTCTGAGGTCTCCAAAGGTCTGAAAGAAACATTTTCTGTCTATTCTCTCTGAGGACTGCTCCGAGTGAGGTTCCACCTATGTAATAAGTCCATTGTTGCTAGCCAGGTTCGTTTCCTCACATAACGTTTCTTTTTTTTCCCTGTGATCTAAGACCCCATTCTTTTTGTAAACTTCATGTGGTAGATAAGCTTCTGCACGCATCGTGTGTCTGGGTCATCGTTCTAAGGGCTCCACTGTACACACATTGCAGAAACCTGTATGACTTTTCTACTATTTTTCTGCCTCCTATTAGTGATTTTCAGGGAAGCTTCAGAAGGCAAAAGGGACATTCTCCTTTAGCCCATTCTCAGACAAAATCCCCCAACATGTAACTGATTCCTAATAGCTTAAAATCACTTTGAAAAATCCATATATTTATAACCTTTTCTTCCCTCTATGATTTCTGGTCAGCTTGGATTTTGTTTTTCATTCCATTTACTTCATCCTCGAAAAGATCTATTTTACGTCTATTTATTCTCATTTATGGACATTGAGAAAAGAAAATAACTTTCATGAGAGAAATGCAAGTCCTTTTAAATAATCAGGTCCAGAGAGATATTCAAATGAGACAGCAGTTCTGTCCTGCTCGTCTTTGAGCTGTGTGTTCATCTAGGCTGCTTGCTGTTGCCACAGTATCTATAAATTAACCAATAACGCCACACCAGACACTATAACCCACACCCAATAATAGTGTAACAGTGTATAGCCAGTCACTAATAAATGTTATTTCCATAAGCCAATGAGAATTTGTGACAAACCTCTTTGCATCATCCCACTTCTGGAACCTTTTTTGCCTTCAAGAAACTGCTTGTTGCAAAGCTCCAAAGGGAGTTTATATCCAAGGATACTTGGGTCTGTTTCTTCCAGGCAGCTGTCCTCATTGTGGCTCAAGTAAACTCTTTGAATTTCGTTTTGTGCTTCAGCCCCTTCCACTTAGATTAACAACATGGATTTGTGTCACCATGTACAGCAATTAAAATGTTTACACTTTTCCCCTCGAGGGCACTGATGTGTTTTCCTGAGCACTTGGAATAGCTACGTAGTGTTTCCTGTCTAGATTATGGTTTCTGAACCTTGGTGCTACTTACCTTTAGGACCAGAGGATTCTTTGTTGTGGGAGGCTGCCCTAGCAGTGCTAGGTGTTTCGTTTGACCTCTAAATTTCACACCTCCACCAGTCTTGACATCCCCACAATAACCCTAGACATTGACAAATGTCTCCTGGGGAAAACTCTCCACCAGTTGACAAGCAAAATTCTGGAAATATTGGAGTTGTCAATTGAGATTTTATGTTATCCAAAACAAATACTTTTCCTTGTTTTTAAACATCTACTTCCATCTACTTATCTACTTATTTTTACTTTTATTTGTAACTTAATTCCATCAAGGAGGGAGAGTGCATTTTCTGTTATGCTAAATTTTTGAAGAACGTATTGATTTTTTGTGACCTGATATATAGATGATATGTAGATATTACATGTTTGTATTATCAAATTTCAGGGCGATAATAAAATAAATACTTATAATATTTATATTTTCACTGTATATTAGTTATTTCCTTTCTTCATTACAGGAGTTTTTCAACCTATAGGCTATTTTTCAATTCTTGGTTATCCAGTAGATTTTGAAATGTTATGATTAAATGTCTACTTCTCAAGCATTCATCTTTGGAAATGAAACAATCCCAAGCTCTTATAATGCACATCATATAAAGGGCAGAATAGTCAATATATGGTTCAGAAATAATTATGTAATATTTATAAGAAAATTATAAATTTAGATCCTTATCTCAGATAACAATAGTCCAAATTAAAATTTGATTTTGTTACATAATTTAAAATGTCACCAGAATACTAGTAAAATGTAGATAAGTTTATATAATCTTTTTAGCTGAAGGACTTTATTAGCATAAATTCAAATACAGGAACCAAAGTAAGATTGAGACCTATAGTCAAAGCTTAAAATGTACACATTATAGGGACACGATTAAACTAATTTAAAGCATGATAACATGGAGAAATATTGCAAAACATACATTTTTCTGAATTAATTGTTAATATCTAATCATTATGTGAGAACAAAATGAAAGAGTAGCTACACACGCACACACTCACACACAAGTGCAATATTGTCAAATAAACGATGTTCAGCTACACTAGAAATCACACCTGTGTTTTCTCGACAGAAAAGATTAAAAATCACAATAATATTTACTGTACATAGGGAGGTAAAGATACTCAAAATATTACCCTAAAATACATTTTTTTTTGAGATGGAGTTTTGCTCTTATTGCCCAGGCTAGAGTGCAATGGCACAATCTTGGCTCACTGCAACCTCAGCCTCCCAGGGTCAAGTAATTCTCCTAGCTCAGCCTCCCAAGTAGCTGAGATTACAGGCATGCACCACCACACTTGGCTAATTTTTTGTATTTGGTAGAGACAGGGTTTCACCATGTTGGTCAGGCTGGTCTCCAACTCCTGACTTCAGGTGATCTACCCACTTCAGCCTCCCAAAGTGTTGGGATTACAGGTGTGCGCCTGGCCAGCTTTTTGACATATTTCAAGATGGTTACTCGGAAGAGTGGAGATAGCTTTTTCTACAAGAATAGCTGAAAAGCTGTGTTTGTTGGGGAGATTTGCATTAGTAGAGAAAATCTGCATTCACATAGACAGGCTTTCCCTGAGATACTCCCTTGTTTGGGTTTAGGAAAGATTAACTGAGCCTGGCACATTTACATTTCTAAACACCATTTCCTATCTATACTTCCCAAGAGGAGGGCTGCTCCCTGTGAGGTTTCATCCATGTAACAAGACCACCTCTGCTACCAGGCTCCTCTTTCTTCCTTGTCATCACCTGTCTTCTGCAAAGCCTGATTTACCAACCTACAGCTCTGTGTTTTCTGTAACCTCAAGACAGCATAGGCGTGCTGACTACCTTGCCTTTCCTGGAGTTTTTATATATATAGTATATATTTGTATATCTATTTATAATATAGAAATATTTGTATAGATATATTTATATACATTATGTAAACTCCAAGTGCATACTTGTGCACATATCTGTAAACCTTTTTTTCCTGTTAATTTGTACATTATCAGTTTGTTTTATAGAGTCAAGTAATTAAAGCTTCAAGGGAAAAATTTAAACTTTCCTATAAAGAAAAGACAAATATATAGGTGACATATAATATTTAGAGTGTAAGACGCTTTTTAAAGGTATATTTGCAATTTGTGTCAAAACATTTAAATATGTTATTTAAACTATTTTATTTTAACTACATAATTTCAAATAATTTAAGCCAAATACATAGTATATGCAGAAAATTTTGCAATATATCTATGTAGCACCTTACTGTGCATTACTGTGACCAGCCGTCTAATATAAAGAATTAATTAAGGTAGCAGCTACTTTTCATATAGCTCATTTTTTTCACAAACCTTTTAAATAAGACAAATAACATTCAAACTTTGTTTTTAAATTTGCAGAATAGTAGTTTTCAGCAGGTGGTTTATTTTAGCAAATTCCATCTTCACATTGTGCTATGCTTTTATGAGTTCCAGCTGTTAACGGATAATATTTTACTGCTGAAACTATCATGTGTGATATAATTGCTCATTATGTGCCTTAAAACACAAGCAATATAGTTATTTTCAACTTGGAGCAAATTAAAATCTTATCAGCAATTTAAAAACGCTAGAGTCGTCTTCTTCTTGTTAATTATTTTAAACTTGTATTTTTCTCTTTAAGTTTTTAGTGAGTTGTCTTATCAAGGAGAAGAACTCAAGCTGATTATTCTTTTTTTTCTCTTCCATCCACCTCGCAGGTGTGTTAGTAATTTCATTTCTCAGAGAAAGTTCTGTCATATCCATCTTACAAGATGAGAGACCTTTTAACATCTTCCATTCAGATGTGATACCAGTAATGGAAAATATTCCAGCTTCATGAATATGCTGATACAAATAGTTATCTGTCTAACCTCTTTCAGTGCCAAATGTTTACTTTACTCAGTGAATTACTCAGTTGACTGGTAATTTCTCCTGAAATCACTAATGAGAGGATCAGAGGTCTAGCTGTTGTCTGTACCTCATATGACTCCCAGTGCAGACAATTGTTTCTATGGAGCACAGACAGTTGAAAGGATTGACTTCCTGCCTAGAATAGTTTCCGCTGTGCTTCTTATCCTTCCTGTGGAGATTTCAGAATATCTGAATTGCTTTTCTCTCTTGAGAAATAACGCAACAATTCTCCCACCTGAGAGGAATGTAAACTGTAGTAAGTTAGCAGAACCAATCCGTAAAGTTTTTACATTGTTTGTTGCAAAATGCAGCGCTGGTGTCTCCATCACTAACCTTTTCTATCCCTCATTGCCCTTTCTTTGACTGCAATAGGATACCTCTAGGCAAATCTGTATTCCCGAGACAGTGTGCCCTTTTGGTGAACTATAAGCACACTCAATGGTAGGCTGAAATACTAGCTTTTATCTATGGCGAAATGGAATCATATCAGTGATTTTTTTTAAAAAGGAAATTTAACTCTTGCTACGGTTTGAATGCTTGCCCCTTCCAATCTCATGTTAAAATTTGATCCCCAATGTTGCAGGTGGGGCTTACTTGGTGGTGTTTGTACATGGGGTTGGAACTTCATGAATGGATAATACCCTCCCTAAGAAATCTAAAGCTATCCTCCCTCCTCGGTGCCCTCAGGAATGAGTGTACCATACTTTATTCAACTATAATTCCACCACCCATCCTTTTTGAGATATTGATTACATGTATGTTACACTGCTGCATATTGTCTGATGTATCAGTGAGTTTCTGGCCTTCTTATTTTAGTTTACCCTTTGTCCTTTAGTTTGTAAAGCTTCAATTTTTTTCTATAAATTTTCTGATGTTAGGATAAAACCCATTACTTGTTCTATCTCATGGAATTTTTATTTCAAATATTTATTTTTCATCTATACATGTCACATTTTTCATTTTATAACTTCTCTTTTTCTCCTATGTTCAATTTTCATTTAAGTACCTTGACATATATATGTATTTATCTATATGTATTTATAAAATATATTTAATTTAAGGACCTTGAAATTTTCCTCTTTTCTGTCATTTATAAATGACTTATTTTTATCCTGTTAATATATATCTTAATTATATATATCTTACGGCTTCTTTGCATGTCAGAGGTTTTTTTGGGTATGTTGATGTTACGCTATTGAATATCTACATTTCATTGGCTACCTTTGAACAATGTTTTGGCAGGGAATTCAGTAACTTCAGGATGAGTATTTGTCTGTTGTTGTTTTAAATCTTCTCTTTAAACTTTGTTGAGTTAGTCTAGAGCCATCTGTAATTTGGAGCTAAATGAGCACTGTCACTAGGGCATGAACCTCCAGTGGTCTTTACTGAATATCCTGGAGGTACAGAGGGGATTCCCTTCTCTGATTAGAATTTGGAATATAAAGAGAAAAGAGAAAAATAGAAAGCTATGCATAAACAGGTGCATTAAAATGAATTTTATGTGGGCTTTTTCATGAAAATGTTCCTAAGGTATTTTATTTTTTTATTGTGGTAAAATACACATAACATAAAATGTATTCTGTTAACCATTTTAAGTGTACAGTTCAGTGGTACTAAATATAGTCATAACATTGTGCAGCCGTCCCTACCATCCATCTCTACAATTCGTTTCATCTTGTAAAACTGAAACTCTATACCCATTAAACAATACTTCCCCATTTCTTCCTCCCCCCAGCTTCTGACACCCATCATTGTACCATCTCTATAATGCTAATCAAGCATAGTGGCTGTGTTTCTTGCTTCCTCTAGTCCGCAGGTAGCATACAAATGTAATAAACTACTTATTCATGTCACATCTATTTATTTTCTGCCGTATACCAAGCTTGTGGGATTCTCTTAAATACAACATTTTTCTACTTACACCTATGCAATACCCATTAGCATCGCCTTCCTAGATAGAGCAGTTTTGAAACACTCTTTTTGAAGAATCTGCAAATGGATATTTTGTTCACTTTGAGGCCTATGTTGGAAAACGAAATATATTCACATAGAAACAAGATCGAAGTATTCTCAGAAACTTCTTTGTGATGTGTGCATTCAACTCTCAGAGTTGAACTTTTCTTTTGATAGAGCAGTTTTGAAACACTCTTTTTGTAGAATCTGCAAGTTGATATTTGGAAGGTTTGAAGCCTATGCTGGAAAAGGCAATATCTTCGCATAAAAACTAGACAGAAACATACTCAGAAACTTCTTTGTGATGTCTGCTTTCAACTCACAGTGTTTAACCTTTCTTTTGATAGAGCAGTTTTGAAACACTCTTTTTGTAAAATCTGCAAGTGGATATGTGTAGCGCTTTGAGGCCTATGGTGGAAACGGATATATCTACACATAAAAGATAGACAGAAACATTCTCCAAAACTTCTTTGTGATTTTTGCATTCAACTGACAGAGTTGAACATTTCTTTTGATAGAGCAGTTTCTCTTTTCTTTTTTTCCTTTTTAATTAGTATTAAACTTTAAGTTTTAGGGTGCATGTGCACAACGTGCAGGTTAGTTACATATGTATACAAGTGCCATGCTGGTGCTCTGCACCCACTTACACGTCATCTATCATTAGGTATATCCCCCAATGCTATCCCTCCCCCCTTCCTCCACCCCACAACTGTCCCCAGAGTGTGATGTTCCCCTTCCTGTGTCCATGTGTTCTCATTGTTCAGTTCCCACCTATGAGTGAGAATATGCTGTGTTTGGTTTTTTGTTCTTGTGATAGTTTACTGAGAATGATGATTCCCAATTTCATCCATGTCCCTACAAAGGACGTGAACTCGTCATTTTTTATGGCTGCATAGTATTCCATGGTGTATATGTGCCACATTTTCTATATCCAGTCTATCATTGTCGGATATTTGGGTTGGTTCCAAGTCTTTGCTGTTGTGAATAATGCCACAGAAAACATACGTGTGCATGTGTCTTTATAGCAGCATGATTTATAGTCCTTTGGGTATATACCCAGTAATGGGATGGCTGGGTCAAATGGTATTTCTAGTTCTAGATCCCTGAGGAATCGCCACACTGACTTCCACAATGGTTGAACTAGTTTACAGTCCCACCAACAGTGTAAAAGTGTTCCTATTTCTTCACATCCTCTCCAGCACCTGTTTTTTCCTGATTTTTAATGATTGCCATTCTAACTGGTGTGAGATGGTATCTGATTGTGGTTTTGATTTGCATTTCTCTGATGGCCAGTGATGATGAGCATTTTTTCATGTGTGTTTTGGCTGCATATATGTCTTCTTTTGAGAAGTGTCTGTTCATGTCCTTCACCCACGTTTTGATGGGGTTGTTTGTTTTTTTCTTGTAAATTTGTTTGAGTTCATTGTAGATTCTGGATATTAGTCCTTTGTCAGATGAATAGGTTGCGAAAATTTTCTCCCATGTTGTAGGTTGCCTGTTCACTCTGATGGTAGTTTCTTTTACTCTGCAGAAGTTCTTTAGTTTAATTAGATCCCATTTGTCAATTTTGGCTTTGGTTGTCATTGCTTTTGGAGTTTTAGACATGAAGTCCTTGGCCATCCCTATGTCCTGAATGGTAATGACTATGTTTTCTTCTAGGGTTTTTATGGTTTTAAGTCTAATGTTTAAGTCTTTAATCCATCTTGAATTGATTTTTGTATAAGGTGTAAGGAAGGGATCCACTTTCAGCTTTCTACATATGGCTAGCCAGTTTTTCCAGCACCATTTATTAAATAGGGAATCCTTTCCCATTGCTTCTTTTTCTCATGTTTGTCAAAGATCAGATAGTTGTAGACATGTGGCATTATTTCTGAGGGCTCTGTTCTGTTCCATTGATCTCTATCTCTGTTTTGGTACCAGTACCATGCTGTTTTGGTTACTGTAGCCTTGTAGTATAGTTTGAAGTCAGGTAGTGTGATGCCTCCAGCTTTGTTCTTTTGGCTTAGGATTGACTTGGTGACGTGGGCTCTTTTTTGGTTCTATATGAACTTTAAAGTAGTTTTTTTCAATTCTGTGAAGAAAGTCTTTGGTAGCTTGATGGGGATGGCATTGAATCTGTAAATTACCCTGGGCCTTATGGCCATTTTCACGATATTGATTCTTTCTACCCACTCCCATTCAACACAGTGTTGAAAGTTCTGGCCAGGGCAATTAGGCAGGAGAAGGAAATAAAGGGTATCCAATTAGGAAAAGAGGACGTCAAATTGTCCCTGTTTGCAGACGACATGATTGTATATCTAGAAAACCCCATTGTCTCAGCCCAAAATCTCCTTAAGCTGAAAAGCAACTTCAGCAAAGTCACAGGACACAAAATCAATGTAAAAAAAATCACAAGCATTCTTACACACCAAAAACAGACAAACAGAGAGCCAAATCATGAGTGAACTCCCATTCATAGTTGCTTCAAAGAGAATAAAATACAAGGGAGGTGAAGGACCTCTTCAAGGAGAACTACAAACCACTGCTCAAGGAAATAAAAGAGGATACAAACAAATTGAAGAACATTCCATGCACATGGGTAGGATAGAGGAGTTGTCAAACACTCGTTTTGTAGAATCTGCAAGTGGATATTTGGTTCCCTTTGAGGCCTATGTTGGAAAAGAAAATATCTTCACATCAAAAATAGACAGAAGCATTCTCAGAAACTTCTTTGTGATGTGTGCATTCATCTCAAGGAGTTGAAACTTTCTCTTGATAGAGCAGTTTTGAAACACTCATTTTGTAGAACATGGAAATGGATATTTGGAGCACTTTGAGTCCTATAGGAAATAACTTCATATAAAAACAAGACAGAAACATTCTCAGAAACTTCCTTGTAATTGGTACATTCAACTCACAGATTTGAACATTTCTTTTGACACAGCAGTTGTGAAACACCATTTTGGTAGAATCTGCAAGGGGATAGTTTGTTCCCTTTGAGGTCTATGTTGGAAAAAGAAATATCTTCACATAAAAAAAGACACAAGCATTCTCAGAAACTTTTTTGTGATGTGTGCATTCAACTCACAGAGTTGAACCTTTCTTTTGATAGAGCAGTTTTGAAACACTCTCTTTGTCCAATCTGCAAGTTGATATTTGGAGCGCTTTGAGGCCTATGGTGGAAAAGGAAATATCTTCACATAAAAACTAGAGAGAAGCATTCTCAGAAACTCTTTTGTGATGTGCACATTCAACTCACAAAAATGGATCTTTCCTTTGATACAGCTGTTTTGAAACACTCTTTTTGTATAATCTGCAAATGGGCATTTTGAGCCCTTTGAGGCCTATGATGGAAAAGGAATTATCTTCACATAATAACTAGACAGAAGCATTCTCAGAAACTTGATTGTAATGTGTGCATTCAACTCACAGAGTTGAACCTTTCTTTTGATAGAGCAGTTTGAAACGCTCTTTTTGGAGAATCTGCAGGTGGATATTTTGTTCCCTGTGAGGTCTATGTTGGAAAACGAAATATCTTCACATAAAGACTAGACAGAAGCATTCTCAGAAACTTCTTTGTGATGTGTGCATTCAACTCAGAGAGTTGAACATTTCTTTTGATACAGCTCTTTTCAAACACTCCTTTGTAGAATCTGCAAGTGGATATTTTGTTCCCTTTGAAACCTATGTTGGAAAAGGAAATACGTTCACATAAAAACTACACAGAAGGTTTCTCAGAAACTTCTTTTTGTTGTGTGCATTCAGCTCACAGAGTTGAACATTTCTTTTGATACAGCAGTTTTGAAACATTCTTTTTTTAGAATCTGCAGGTGGATATATGGAGCACTTTGAGGCCTATGGTAGACAAGGAAATACCTTCATACAAAAAATAGACAGAAGCATTCTCAGGAACTACTTAGTGATGTGTGCATTCAACTCACAGAGTTGAACCTTTCTTTGATAGAGCAGTTCTGAAACACTCTTTTTATAGAATCTGCAAGTGGATATATGGAGCGCTTTGAGGCCTTCAGTGGAAACGGGAATATCTTCACATAAATACTAGACAGAAAACATTCTTAGCAATTTCTTTTTGATGTGCACACTCAACAAACAGAGTTGAACCTTTCTTTTGATAGAGCAGTTTTGAAACACTCTTTTTGTAGAATATGCAAGAGGATATTTGGAGGGTTTTGAGGCCTCCTGTGGAAACGGGAATATCTTCACCTAAAAACTAGACAGAAGCATTCTCAAAAACTTCTTTGTGTTGTGTGCATTCAACACACAGAGTTGAACCTTCTATTCGATAGAGCAGTTTTGAAAAGCTCTTTTTGTAGAATCTGCAAGTGGCCATTTGGAGAGCTTTGAGGCCTATGGTGGAAAAGGAAATATCTTCACATAAAAACCAGACAGAAACATTCTCAGAAACTTCTTTGTGATGTGTGCATTCAACTCACACATTTGAACACGCCTTTTCATAGAGCTGTTTTGAAACACTCTTTTTGTAATATCTGCAACTGGATATTTGGGCCGGTTTGAGGCTTTCATTGGAAATGGCAATATCTTCACATAAAATTAGACAGAACCAGTCTCAGAAACTTCTTTGTGATGGGAACATTAAACACTCAGTGTTGAACATTTCGTTTCATAGAGTATCTTTGAAACACCCTTTTAATAGCATCTTCAAGTTGATATTTGGACCGCTTTTAGGCCTTCTTTGGAAATGGGAATATCACCACCTGAAAACTAGAGAGAAGCATTCGCAGTAACTTCTTTGTGATTTTTTCATTGAACACACAGAGTTGAAGCTTCCTTTTGATAGAACAGTTTGGAAACGGTCTTTTTGTAAAATCTTCAAGTGGATATATTGAGTGCTTTGAAGACTTCGGCGGAAAGGGGAATATCTTCACATAAAAACTAGACAAAACCATTCTCAGAAACTTCTTTGAGATGTGTGCATTCAGCTCACAGAGTTGAAACTTCCTTTTGATAGAGCAGTTATGAAACAATCTTTTTTTAGAATCTGCAAGTGGATATATGGATCGCTTTGAGGCTTATGGAAGAAAAGGAAATATCTTCATATAAAAACTAGACAGAAGCATTCTTAGAAACTACTTACTGATGTGGGCATTCAACTCTCAGAGCTGAACCTTTCTTTTGATAGAGCAGTTTTTAAACACTAGTTTTGTAGAATCTGCAAGTGGATACATGGAGCACTTTGAGGCCTATGGAAGAAAAGGAAATATCTTCATATAATAAGTAGACAGAAGCATTCTAAGAAACTATTTGTGATGTGTGCTTTCAACTCACAGAGTTGAACCTTTCTTTTGATAGAGCAGTTTTGAAACACTCTTTTTGTATAATCTGCAAGTGGACATTTGGAGCACTTTGAGGCCTGTGGTGGAAAAGAAATATCTTCATATAAAAACTAGACAGAATCATTCTCAGAAACTACTTTTTGATGTGTGCATTCAACTCACAGAGTTCAACCTTTCTTTTGATAGAGCAGTTTGCAAACATTCTTTTTGAAGGATCTGCAAGTGGATATATGGAGCCCTTTGAGGCCTTCAGTGGAAACAGGATTATCTTCACATAAAAACTAGACAGAAGCATTCTCAGAAACTTCTTTGTGATGTGTGCACTTAACTCACAGAGTTGAACCGTTCTTTTGATAGAGCAGATCTGAAACACTCTTTTTGTAGAATCTGCTAGTGGATGTTTGGAGGGTATTGAGGCCTACGATGGCAAGGGGAATATCTTCACTTAAAAACTAGACAGAAGCATTCTCAGAAACTTCTTTGTGATGTGTGCCTTCAGCTCACAGAGTTGAACTTTTGTTTTGATAGAGCAGTTTTGAAACACTATTTTTGTAGAATCTGCAAGTGAATATTTGGAGGGCTTTGAGGCCTATGGTTGAAACAGGAATATCTTCACCTAAAAACTAGACAGAAGCATTCTCAGAAACTTCTTTGTGATGTGTGCATTCAGCTCACAGAGTTGAACCTTCCTTTAGATAGAACCGTTTTGAAACACTCTTTTTGTAGATTCTGCAAGTGGATATTGGAGGGCTTTGAGGCTTACTTTTGAAACGGGAATATCTTCACCTAAAAACTAGACAGAAGCATTCTCAGAAACTTCTTTGTGATGTGTCCATTCAACTCACATAGTTGAACCTTCCTTTTGATAGAGCAGTTGTGGAACACTCTTTTTTAGAACCTGCAAGTGGATATATGGAGCGATTTGAGGCCTATGGTAGAAAATGAAATATCTTCATATAAAAACTAGACAGAAGCATTCTCAGAAACTACTATGTGATGTCTTCATTCAACTCACAGATTTGAACCTTCCTTTGATAGAGCAGTGTTGAAACACTCTTTTTGTAGAATCTGCATGTGGATATATGAAGCACTATGTGGTCTATGGAAGAAAAGGAAATATCTTCATATAAAAACTAGACAGAAGCACTATCAGACACTAATTAACGATGTGTACATTCAACTCACAACGTTGAAACTTTCTTTTGATAGAGCAGTTTTGAAACATTCTTTTCGTAGAATCTGCAAGTGGATATACGGAGCACTTTGAGGCATTCGGTGGCAATGGGAATATCTTAACATAAAAAGTTGACAGAAACATTTCAGAAACTTCTTTGTGATGCACGCACTCAACTCAAAGAGTTAAACCTTTCTTTTGATAGAGAAGTTTTGAAACACTCTTTTTGTACAATCTGCAAGTGGGTATGTAGAGTGCTTTGAGGCCTTAGGTAGAAAAGGAAATATCTTCGTATCAAAACTAGACAGAAGCATTTGGTGATGTGTGCATTCAACTCAAGAGCTGAACCTTTCTTTTGATAGAGCAGTTTTGAAACACTCGTTTTGTATAATCTGCAAGCTGATATTTGGATAGCTTTGAGGCTTTTGTTGGAAATGGGAATATCTTCACAAAAAAACTAGACAGAAGCATTCTCAGAAACCACTTTGTGATGTGTGCATTCAACTCACAGTGTTGAACCTTTCTTTTGATAGAGCAGCTTGGAAACACTCTTTTTGTAGAATCTGCAAGTGGCCATTTGGAGGACTTTGAGGCCTATGGTGGAAAGGGAAATATATTCACATGAAAACTAGACAGAAGCATTCTCAGAAACTTCTTTGTGATGTGTGCATTCAACTCACACATTTGAACTCACCTTTTCATAGAGCGGTTTTGAAACACTCTTTTTGTAGTATCTGCAAGTGGATATATAGAGAGCTTTGAGGCCTTTGGTAGAAAAGGATATATCTTCATATAAAAACTAGACAGAAGCAGTTGGCCATGTGTGCATTCAACTCACAGAGTTGAACCTTTCTTTTGATAGAGCAGTTTTGAAACACTCGTTTTGTATAATCTGCAAGTTGATATTTGGGACATTTTGTGGCCTTCGTTGGAAACGGGAATATCTTGACATAAAAACTAGACAGAAGCCTTCTCAGGAACTTCTTTGTGATGTATGCATTCAACTCACAGAGTTGAACATACCTTTTAATAGAACAGTTTTGAAGCACTCTTTTTCTAGGATCTGCAAGTGGACATTTGGAACATTTTGAGGCCTGTGGTGGAAAAGTAAATATCGTCATATAAAATCGAGACAGAAGCATTCTCAGAAACTACTTTGTGATGTGTTCATTCAACTCACAGAGTTGAAGCTTTATTTTGATAGAACAGCTTTGTAACACTCTGTTTGTGGAATCTGCAAGTGGACATTTGGAGAGCTTTGAGGCCTATGGTGGACAAGGAAATATCTTCACATAAAAGCTAAACAGAAACATTCTTAGAAACTTCTTTGTGATGTGTGCATTCAACTCACACATTTGAACACACCTTCTCATAGAGCAGTTCTGAAACACTCTTTTTGTAATATCTGCAAGTGGATATTTGGGCAGGTTTGAGGCTTTCATTGGAAAGGGCAATATCTTTCCATAAAATTAGACACAACCATTCTCAGAAAGTTCTTTGTGATGTGAGCATTCAACTCACAGTGTCCAACCTTTCTTTTAATAGAGTAGTATTAAAACACTCTTTTTGTAGCATCTGCAAGTTGATATTTGGACCACTTTGAGTCCTTCGTTGGAAACGGGAATATCATCACCTGAAAACTAGAGAGAAGAATGCTCAGTAACTTCGTCGTTATTTGTGCATTCAACACACAGAGTTGAAGCTTCCTTTTGTTAGAGCAGTTTTGAAACACTCTTTTTGTAGAATCTGCAAGTGGATATATTGAGTGCTTTGCGGCCTTTGGTGGAAACGGGAATATCGTCACATAAAAACTAGACAGAAGCATTCTCAGAAACTTCTTTGTGATGTGTGCATTCAACTCACATAGTTGAACCTTCCTTTTGATAAAGCAGATTTGAAACACTATTTTTGTAGAAACTGCAAGTGGACATTTGGAGGGCTTTGAGGCTTATGGTTGAAACGGGAATAACTTCACCTAAAAATTAGACAGAAGCATTCTCAGAAACTTTTTTGTGATGTGTGCACTCAACTCACAGAGTTGAAACTTTCGTTTGATAGAGCAGTGTTGAAACACTCTTTTTGTGGAATCTGCAAGTTGATATATGGTGTGCTTTGAGGTCTATGGAAGAAAAGAAAATATCTTCATATAAAAACTAGACAGAAGCATTCTTCGAAAGTACTTAATGATGTGCACATTCAACCAACAGAGTTGAAACTTTCTTTTGATAGATCAGTTTTGAAACACTCTTTTCGTAGAATCTACAATTGGATATACAGAGCAATTTGAGGACTTTGAGGCCTTCGTTGGAAACGGGAATATCTTCACATAAAAACTAGACAGAAGCATTCTCAGAAACTTCTTTGTGTTGTGTGCATTCAACTCACAGAGTTGAACATACCTTTTGATAGAACAGTTTTGAAGCACTCTTTTTGTACAATCTGCTAGTGGACATTTGGAGCACTTTGAGGCCTGTGGTGGAAAAGTAAATATCTTCATATAAAATCGTGACAGAAGCATTCTCAGAAACTACTTTGTGATGTGTTCATTCAACTCACAGAGTTGAAGCTTTCTTTTGATAGAACAGCTTTGTAACACTCTTTTTGTGGAATCTGCAAGTGGACATTTGGAGAGCTTTGAGGCCTGTGGTGGAAAAGGAAATATCTTCACATAAAAACTAGACAGAAGCATTATCAGAAATTACTTTGCGATGTGTGCATTCAACTGACACATTTGTACACACATTTTCATAGAGCTGTATTGAAACACTCTTTGTAGCATCTGTAAGTGGATATTTGGGCCGCTTTGAGACTTTCATTGGAAACGGCAATATCTTCACATAAAATTAGACAGAACCATTCTCAGAAACTTCATTGTGATGTGAGCATTCAACTCACGGTGCTGAACCTTTTCTTTAATAGAGTAGTTTTGAACCATTCTTTTTGTAGCATCTGCAAGTTGATATTTGGACCGCTTTGAGGCCGTCGTTGGAAACGGGAATAACATCACCTGAAAACTAGAGAGAAGAATTCACAGTAACTTCTTTGTGATTTATGCATTCAACACACAGAGTTGAAGCTTCCTTTTGATGGAGCAGTTTTGAAAAACTCTTCTTGTAAAATCTTCAAGTCGATATATTGAGCGCTTTGAGGCCTTTGGTGGAAACGGGAATATCTTCACATAAAAACTAGACAGAAGCATTCTCAGAAACTTCTTTGTGATGTGTACATTCAGCTCACACAGTTGAATCTTCCTTTTGATAGAGCAGTTTTGAAACAGTCTTTTTGTAGAACCTGCAAGTGGACATTTGGAGGGCTTTGAGGCCTATGGTTGAAACGGGAATATCTTCACATAAAAATTAGCAGAAGCATTCTCAGAAACTTCTTTGTGATGTGTACGTTCAACTCAGAGAGTTGAACCCTTCTTTTGATAGAGCAGTGTTGAAACACTCTTTTTGTAGAATCTGTAAGTGGATATATAGTGTGCTTTGAGGCCTATGGAGGAAAAGGAAATATCTTCACATAAAAGCTAGAAGGAAACATTCTCAGAAACTTCGTTGTGCTGTGTGCTTTCTACTCACATAGTTGAAATTTTCTTCTGATACTGCAGTTTTGAAACAGTCTTTTTGAGGAATCTTCAAGTGGGCATTTTGAGGGCTTTGGGGACTATTGTGGATAAGGAAATATCTTCACATAAAAACTAGACAGAAGTGCTCTCAGAAACTTCATTTTGATGTGTGCATTCAACCCCCAAAGTAGAACCTTCCTTTTATAGAGAAGTTTTGAAACAGTCTTTTTGTAGAGTCTGCAAGTGGACATTTGGAGCGCTTTGAAGCTTTCATTAGAAACAGGAATATCTTCACATAAAAACTAGACAGAAACATTCTCAGAAACTTCTTTTTGATGCGAGCATTGAACTTACAGAGCTGAAACTTCCTTTTGATTGAGCAGTTTTGAAAAACTTTTTTTGTATTATCTGCAGGTGGATATTTGGGGCTCTTTGAATCCTTCATTGGAAACGGGAATATCTTCACATAAAAACTAGAAAGAAGCATTCTCAGAAACCAGTTTGTGATGTGTGCTTTCAACTTCGTTGAACCTTCGTTTTGATAGAGCAGTTTTGAAATACTTATTTTGTAGAATCTGCAAGTGGATATTTGGAGCGAATTGAAGCCTTCATTGAAAATGGGAATATCTTCACATAAAAACTAGAGAGAAGCATTCTGAGAACCTACTTTGTGATGTGTGCATTCAACTCACAATGTTTAACGTTCCTTTTGATAGAGCAGTTTTGAAACACTCTTTTGTAGAATGTGCATATGGATATTTGGAGCGAATTGAAGCCTTCGTTGGAAATGGGCATATCTTCATATAAAAACTAGACAGAAACATTCTCAGAAACTTCTTTGTGATGTGTGCATTCAACTCACAGAGCTGAACCTTCCCTTAGATGGAGGAGTTTTGAAACACTCTTTTTGTAGAATCTGCAAGTGGAAATTTGGACTGCTTTGAGACCTACGGTAGAACAAGAAAAATCTTCATATAAAATCTACACTGAAGCATTCTCAGAAACCACTTTGTGATGACTGTATTCTACTCCCAGAGTTGAACCTTTCTTTTAATAGAGCAGTTTAGAAACACTCTTTTTGTAGAATCTGCATGTGGACATTTGGAGCACTTTGAAGCCTCCGTTGGAAACATGAATATCTTCACATAAAAACTAGACAGAAACATTCTCAGAAACTTCTTTGTGATGTGTGCATTCAACTCACAGATTTCAACCTTCTTTTTGATAGAGCAGTTTTGAAACACTCTTTTTGTAGAATCTGCAGGTGAACATTTGGAGCTCTTTGGGGCCTTCCGTGGAAAAGGATATACCTTCATATTAAAACTAGGCAGAAGCATTCTGAGAAACTTCTTTGTGATGAGTGCATTCAACTCAAAGAGTTGAAGTTTCCTTTTGATAGAGCAGTTTTGAAACACTCTTTTTGTAGAATCTGCAGGTGTATATTTGGAGCGCTTTGAAACCTTCATTGGAAACGGGAATATCTTCACATAAAAATTACACAGAAACATTCTCAGAAATTTCTTTGCAATGTGTGCTTTCAACTTACAGAACTGAACCTTTCTTTTGATAGTGCAGTTTTGAAACACTCTTTTTATAGAATCTGCAGTTGGACATTTGGAGCTCTTTTAGGCTTGTAGTGGAAAAGGAAATATCTTCACATTAAAACTAGACATAAGCATTCTCAGAAACTTCTTTGTGATGTGTGCATTCAACTCACAGAATTGAATCTTCATACAAAAACTAGACAGAAGCATTCACAGAAACTACTTTGTGATGTGTCCATTCTACTCTCACAGTTGAAACTTTCTTCTGATAGAGCAGATTGGAAACAGTCTTTGTGAAGAATCTTCAAGTGTGCATTTGGAGGGCTTTGACAGCTATTGTCGAAAAGGAAATATCTTCACATAAAAAGTAGACAGAAGTATTCTCATAAAATTCATTTTGATGTGTGCATTCAACTCACAAAGTAGAACTTTACTTTCGATAGAGCAGTTTTGAAACACTCTTTTTGTAGAATCTGCAAGTGGATATTTGGAGCACTTTGAAGCTTTCATTGAAAACTGGAATATCTTCACTTAAAAACTAGATGGAAGCATTCTCAGAAACTTCTTTCTGTTGTGTGCATTGAACCCACAGAGCTGAACTTTTCTTTTTATAGAACAGTTTTGAAACACTCTTTTTGTAGCATCAGCAGGTGGATATTTGGAGCGCTTTGAAGCCTTTGTTGGAAACGGGAATATCTTCACATAAAAACTAGACAGAAGCATTCTCACAAACTTATTTGTGATGTGTGCATTCAACTTACAGAATTGAACCTTCCTTTTGATAGAGCAGTTTTGAAACACTCTTTTTGTACAATCTGCAATAGGATATTTTGAGCTCTTTGAAGCCTTCATTGGAAATGGGAATATCTTCACATAAAAACTAGACAGAAGCATTCTCAGAAACTTCTTTGTGATGCTTGCATTCAACTCACAGATTTGAACGTTCCTTTTGATAGAACAGTTTTGAAACACTCTGTTTGTAGAATCTAAAAGTGGGTATTTTGAGTGCATTGAGGCCTGTGGTAGAAAAGGAAATATCTTCAGATAAAAACTAGACAGAAGCATTCTCAGAAGCGACTTTGTGATGTGTGCATTCTACTCCCATAGTTGAACCTTTCTTTTGATAGAGCAGTCTGGAAACACTCTTTTTGTCGAATCTGCAAGTGGACATTTGGAGCGCTTTGAAGGCTATGGTGGAAAAGGAAATATCTTCACATAAAAACTAGATGGAAGCATTCTCAGAAACTTCTTTGTGTTGTGTTCATTCAACTCACATAGTTGAACTTTACTTTTGATAGAGCAGTTTGGAAGCCCTTTTTTATTAAGTCTGCAGGAGGATATTTGGAGCTCTTTGAATCCTTCGTTGGAAACGGGAATAGCTTCATATAAATACTAGAAAGAAGCATTCTCAGAAACCACTTTGTGATGTGTGCATTCAACTCACACAGTTGAACCTTCCTTTTGATAGAGCAGTTTGGAAACACTCTTTTTGTAGAATGTGCATGTAGATATTTGTACCGAATGGAAGCCTTCATTTGAAATAGGAATATCTTCACCTAAAAACTAGATGGAAGCATTGTCAGAAAGTCCTTTGTGATGTGTGCATTCAACTCACAGAACTGAACCTTCCTTCAGACAGAGAAGTTTTGAAACACTCTTTTTGTAGAATCTGCATTTACATCTTTGGAGCGCTTTGAAGTCTTC